>NC_000001.11:59402319-59553835 GCF_000001405.40 Homo sapiens
GATTTCTGAGTGCTTGCCTTTCCCTAATGCATCTTCATGTCTTTAAGGACAAAGATGTAGGACCAAGAGTGGGCTACATCACAGGAGATGAAAAGATCTGTTTGCATATTTGACCTCTGCTAATTATCAGCAGTGTGATAGTAGGCGTGTCATCTGACATCATCTTGCCTGTTGCATAGTAGACATTTGGTAAAGATTTGTTGAATGGATTAATTAATATAATTATATGTTTTTGCGGACTCTGAAGAATTTGAGATACAGCTATATAAAAGAGTTACTATTTATTGGTACATATTGCTTAGTATTTGGAATAAGCTTGGTAATTATTCACTAAGCAGGAAACAGGGTTTAGGGATTTCCAGGCATTAGGGACACTGAGCCTTGAGACAGGGTAGCAGCTCTGTGGTTCAGAGTGACTGGTCCACCAGGAACAGAAACAAGCTAGTATTGGGAGGTGAGGGAGTAACATTCCTTGGGAGGATTATTTGGCAAAACGAAGTAAGAATCATAGGGGCATAGGGTCATGGAAAAGGCTTCATTCTTAGTAGAGCTCTGGAGTACCCATCAAGTCTGGGTGAAGATGCTTACCTCCCTGAGAGGGCAAGCATCAGGAAAGCCTGGGTATGGGGGTCCCGGGCTCCTGAGGCCCAGGACTCATTGCTAGGATACAGATTGCACTGTCAAGTCCAGACTGTCACGTGTGAGTCTAAGCCTATTGTTTTGGGGCTTGCCATGGTCTGGATGGGGCCCCTCTTAAAGGTTATAGAGTTGTGGAAGAAAGGGACTGACACATTTTGATAGTCAAAGAGTAAAAGAAGCTATGAGTTACCAGTGTGCTGGATGCTTCTGAAAGCGTTTGACAAGTGCTTTTTGAGTTTTTAAATTAAATTACTTTTTTATTTTTGTCTTCCTCTCTATAAATCATACCAGAGAAGGTAACATTTTTCTCTATACTGACTTTGACAAGCCTAGACTATGCTTTGTCTATGTCCAGTGTACAAATGTAGAGAACCCATTCATTTCTTTACTCCTCACATATTTAGTAAAGTCCGGCTGTGTGCCCTGCCTTTAGGGGACACTGAGCAGAAAGCAGACTCCTCCAGACGATTGCATTGCAGTATAATTAGCACCATAACAAGAGTCTGGCAGATTCTAGTCTGTAGTAGCAAAATGAAGAGCAATCAGGTCTATCCAGGGAATGAGGAAATACCTCACAAGATAGGAAGTGACTGAACTCGGACTTGAAGGATGATCAAGAATCTGCCAGGTGGGTATGGGGGCCACCTGGCAAAAGGACAGCATATGGGAAAGCAGAGGCATGAAAGACCTTGGTGCATCCACAAAGCGTTGGGCACGTGAGTCTAGCCAGATCACAGGTTGTGTGTTGGGGAGCATTTAGAGAAGAGAACACAAAGTCCTCACGTGCTTTACTCAGGCTTTGGGCTTAAGGAGTGTTTCTGATGTGGGCTCTGGAGCCAGACTGCATGGCTGTAAGCCCCGGCCTCTCTGCTTCACACCTCTGTGATCTTGGACAAGTACCTTAACTTTCTGTTTCTCAGTTTCCTCATCTCAGATGATAATAGGACATGCCTCACAGGGTGGTTGTGAGAACCTGAATAACATCGTAAAGCACTTCAAACAGTGTCTGGCACATCAGTTGTTATTAATAATAATTATATAAGATAAAATTATATAATTCATAATGATGATGTTTAATTTGTAACCTGTAGTCAAAAAGTAGAACCAAATACAACTTGCAAGGGAACTGGATGCTTCTGGAAGAGTTTGATAAGTGTTGTTTGAGTTTATAAAGTAAATTACCTTTTTTACTTTCCAGGTAAAAAAATATACCTTTGGGAGGGGAACAACACACACTGGAGCCTGTCGGGGGGCGGGGCCACAGGAGGGAGAGCATCAGGATAAATAGCTAATGCATGTGGTGCTTAATACCTCAGTGATGGGTTGATGGATGCAGCAATCCACCACGCACACATTTCCCTGTGTAACAAACCTGCACGGCATGCACATGTATCCCGGAACTTAAGAAAAAAAAATACATTTTTTCTTTCCAGGACAGCGTCAGTCCTTAAGAGGCTAGCTCAAAGACTAGAGGAAAAATAGACTACTAAATAAATCAAAATTATTTAGTAGGGTATAGAGTTATCCATAAAGTGCTGGGGGTCACTAATTATTAAAGCAGATAGAGCACAGGTAGTTGTTGAGCGTAGAACAGCCCAATCAGAATGATGCCTCAGAAAGGCAGTAGTTGGCCTCCCAGAGTGGAGCATGGATTGCAGCAGGGGGCTGAGGCTGGAGGGGGAGAAGTGTTGAACTAATTCAAGGGATGTTGGAGGGCTAAACCAGTGTCTCTTCTGCTAAATCTGAGCAGAAGAGACAGATCTGGAAGCTTCTGGTAAGGTAGGCTTGATTGAGTTTGGTGAGAAGTTAGATGAGGAGGGTGAGAACCTAGCATCTGGGTGTCTGCTAGATAGATGCTGCTGCACCACACCAATGTCCGTGTGTCTGGGTACCGAGGTGGTGTTCAGGACAGGTCTTCTCCACGTACTGCCGCTGAGCTCACATCCACGCTGTGCATGCTGGGCTGAGTTCTCTTCAGGCTGTTTTCAGCTGACTTAAATGCAACACGTGATGATGAGCATATTTACATAATGTATGCCTGGTGAAATCACGAAAGATTGGAATTTCCCATTTTAATTCCATTTTAAAGATGCTTGTTAAGCAAAAGGATATAATTCATTTTTCAAACTGCTGAAATGTTATTTGGCCTCTTGAATCAAAGGCATTCCGCAAGTGTTTTCTTTATTACATGCCTTAAACTTTAATTAGAATTTAATTATAAGATCCTGAAGGCATGAGCAAGAGGAGCAGATGGGATAGTAAAAGCAGCTTAGTGAGGGAGGATTAAAGATTAAAAGTTGCTTGTTAATGGCATAAGAAATGAACAGAGAGCTAAATTACTATGCTTTTGTGCTATCCTGATGCTTTTTCGATTCTGTAACTTATTCCTGGTTGCAGGTTTTTCAATTCTGCAACTTATTCCTGGTTGGAAGTTGAAGAATCTCACAAATTAGATTTTTAATTTTTTGAGTTGCTAGAGTAGATTTGTACATAGAAAACAGGTAAAACCTGACAAAAAGGTGTTTTATGGCTAGTAGCACCTTGTACAATAATTTCTGCATTGTAGGGGCTTAGTGGTATTTACTGAATTGAACTAAAACTTACATCATCTCACTAGTAAACATCGAATGAGCATAAAATAAGATTTTTTTTTAGAGATGGATGGGGAAGGTGTGAGTCTATAAGTCCAGGCTAACCTGTCCCATGGAATGTTAGATACCTACTCAGGAAGGTAACTTGTATGAACCTCCCACCTTTAGCCTACCCCCCAGTCGACCTTAGTCATTTGCCCCACTTGGTTGGTTGGCTAGAGGAGTGGTAGAAATTTGGTGTGGGAAACACTTTGAGACTGCTCCTCATGTCACACAGTGAGGATGACCTGCTCTGCTCTCTGGTGCTATGTTACGATGATCTCCCGTTAGGCTAAATTATTCTACTTCTTAGTGCTTTTTCCCCTAGCTTTTTTTTTTTTCTTTTTGAAATCTGATATTTAGAGTCCTCTTCCCCACTTAATTGCAAGCTCAATGAAGAAAAACTAGAGAACAATAAGATAGAAAAGAAGACAAAAATGTAGTGAAACAAAAAGCATTCTATCTCCTATTTTCCAGGAACAAATGTTTTTTAAAAAGCTTTTTTAAGCCTGTTAATAGACAGTTGATTCTTCATTATTTGCAGATTCTTTGTTTGCAAATTTGCCTACTTACTAAATCTTATTTGTAACCCTCAAATCAATACTTGTGGCACTTTCACAGTCATTCGCAGAAATGCTCAGAGAGGAGGATAATTTCTGAGTCTCTCGTCATGCGTGTTCCTAGCCGATGGCAAATAACACAACACCCTGCCTTCTTGTTTCAGCTCTCATAGTGTAAACAAGTGTCCTTTTCGAAGTCTACTCGTGCCATGTTTTTCTCATTTTTGTGCTTTTTGTTGGCGATTTCACCATTTAAAATGCACCCCAAGCATTGTGCAAAAGTACTGTGTAGTGTTCAAGTACAGTGCAAGAAAGCTGCGATGTGCCTTACAGAGACAATAACGTGTGTTTGATAAGCTTCATTCAGGCAGGAGTTAAGTGCTGTTGGCTGTAAGTTCAGTGTTATTGACTCAACAATATATATTAAATGAGTTGTTTTTAAGCAAGAATACACATGAAACAGGGTTGCGTATTGATGAGTTGGCAAAAATATAACTGGAGGCTCAGAGGAACCTAGCCCTGTATTTCCCTTAGGAACAATGGTCCAGTGTTCCCTAATTTAATGTTTTTGGAGACTACCAAAAATAATAAGGTCAGCCATGTATCTTTCTCCTTTTCTCCTTGCTCTTGCTTGATCTTTCCATCTCTTGTTACCTCAATCTGTGTGTATATGATATGCATATATTTACTTAAATTATATATGCATATATTTAGCAATTATGATATCACATGATACACGATTCTGCAACCTGTCTTTTAACTTATCAATTGTGTTGGCCTTTGGGCTGTTTGCACTGAGATCCATTTGTCACCCTTGCCCTGCTCTGCAAGGGTGCTGTGTTACAGGGGGTTGACCCCTGCCCCCTGACAATTTGTCATCAGTGGGAGATGGCAAGGCAAGAGAAAGAGAAGCTGGAGTATTTGTCCCTCCCTCTGTCTGCCTTGGGCAGCATCTCTGGCAGTGGCCCCTCTACAGCTATCCCACCTGCAGGTTGGGTCCTCCATGGCTCTGTCATCGGCTGGTTGGTCCTGGGTCTCGAGCTTTAGCCCTGCCTTCTTCCTTTGTCCTTTTAGCTGATGGGTGGAAGAAGCTTCCTGCTGATGCTGATCTCTGAGTTTCTTCCCTGTCCCCTGGGTAGAGCATCAGATTTAAAAGCCAAGGCAAGACAAAAAATGAGAGAATGGTAGCAAAGATCCAACACTTTACAAGACCGCCTGAGAAAAGGGAGGAGGGGGTGGTTCGACACCAGGGCCTGCACACTGAGTGTGTGATGTTGCAGCTCTGCAGGCACAGATTAAGCAGCTAAGATGCCATCAATGCTTGGAAAGCAGCCGGTGCCTCTTGTCCTGAGCTTATTTGTCTGGAATATGATTCCCTTGAACCTGACTAGCTCATCCACGGGGAGAGAGAAAAAAAAATATTCTGATAGTTATCCTGACCAGGCTCTAACAGGGCCTCCTTCCCTAGGATATAATTTTTTCTGGCCTCTTTCCATTCACTTCTTCACATTAGGACCCTTTTCCCCCAGAGTGTGAGATTCCCTGAGGGCTCTAAAAACTGGAATGCTATACAGCATTTTAAGCCCCCTGTGTTGGCACAGTCCTTATTAAAAATGTATTTTCCTCAAGCCATGGCTGCACCCCCTGAAGTGTGGATTAACAGAAAGGCCTTCAGAGCTGGAAGACATTTTTGAAGAACCGCTGTACCAAGTGGCATTAAATATTTATTGCCTACTACATGTAAATTGTTCATCATCTTGTTTTAACTCTTGGACCAAAAGGTTTCTCATCTGCTTTCTGCTAAAGTGGAAATCACAGGAAAGGTACTCTTTACTTTGCTGTGGTATTTTGTTTTCCCAGGAATACGGAATATTTCTTTGTTCTCATAAGTAATACTAGAAAAGATTGCCTTGACTCTCAGCATTTCATTGGGAGGCCATGTGGTGTCATGATGGAGAAAAACTCGAATTCTGGGGCAAGTGCATTGGGCTTTGCCACCTGCAAGCTGTGTTGGCTTGAGAACCTGATACCATTTATGTTTGTTGTGCTGGAAAAATGGGACATTGCATAAATAGCAGATAGCACAATTCCTGGCACCCAGTAAGTTCTCTCTTTCTCCTAGGTCTTCTATTTGGGACTTTGCAAATACATTTCTAAGCAACCTAGAATAAAATATGCTATTAATATGCTGTTAATAATAACCAAAAGCACTCAGCTTAATCTTTACTTATTAAATAAAACTGAAATGTTGCTCAGACACCTTTTGCTGTTTTTGGAATGCCTTTGTAGACACTTTTGATCTTGCTTAAAAAACATAACAGCATTTCAAAGGCTTATCTTAGCTATTCTTATTCATACCTGAAAACCTACAGAGTTTGGATAATTTTGGCACACATATGTGTGCACGCATGTATATGTATAAATATTCTGTCTCTCTAAATATATATGTATATGCAGGCACATGTATAACTCTTTAAGAAATGTTTTTCTAATGTTTAATTTTCTTAAAGTCTGTACTTCACATCATTTTTTTCCCCAGAACTGTTTATCCTCACTCCAGACATGACCCTTGGAAAGGTGGCAGAAAAAACAAACGGCTGGTGTGTTTTGGGGCAGTCTGCATTCCTTTTAACTCTCTGAGACCAGGCTTATGCATGGGCTTTCAAGCTATTTGTCCAGAGGCCCAACCACTTTGATTTCTGCTTGAAAATTAGCCTGTTGTTCAAGCTCAGGAGAGCTTCCACAGAGCTTTCTTGGGTTCGCGAACTAGAGATCTATGAAGTGTTTGCTTTTATTTGTAACTTTAACCACGGCAGCCTTAACTGGACTTTTGTTTTCTTATTTAACTTTTATCCATGTAACCTTAACCTAAGTTCTTTTTCAAATCTCCATCCTCCCCCATCTCACAATTTCTAATCCCTCTTTTGTCCTTAGATTTTTCCTTCAAAGTCAGGATATGACATTTATATCTATGCTTTAGGAAGTATCTGAAAGCTAACATACACATAGAATTATGATTTTTTTCTTGGGTTGCTTAGGAGGATTAAACAAAGGTTTTAGAAGGCAGAATTCAGAAAAAAATTGATAGAAGTTGTGCTGCAGCTTGGAGGGGAGTGTGGATTTTAGAAAGCATAAGGACACTTTCATTTGTCCCTTTCATATGGACTTTTATTTCCTCTGCGAGAGGCCCAGGGGCCTGGCCTGTGGATGGTTTAGACAGGAAAAGACTGAAGGGATAACTGCTTCCAGACCTTCAGCCTTGAATGTTCAGCCATTATTCAAGCCGTTGAGAAAGGGAGCAAGAGGCATAAGGAGGCTTCGGGAGTTTCCATGCAGCTTCTCTGAGTTCCAGCTTGTGTGCATTGTTCTCCAAATGTGTCCCCAGCACTACTGAAAGGACTTTCATACCTCAACTAACCCTTATTGCAAGCCTGTGAAGGAAGAGTTTTTTATATATATATATATATATATATATAAACAGACAAGGCAACTAAAGCTCTGGGAGGTTACAGAAACTTAAGGCCTAAGTAGGGTTACATTGAGACCAGATTAATCAGTTAGTAGATTGTCTTTCTATTTCATCATGTGCTTCATTTCCTCCTTGGTTTACATGACCCTTCTTTGGAAATTTCCTTCTGGTAATATCTTAGTTAAATGAAATAACTAAGTTTTATGGAGTATCCATTATGTGTTAGGCATTGTTTTATGCAATATGCATCTATGTAGTGCACATTCTGATAGGAACCATGTGAAGAAGGTGTATTACCTCCATTTTAGACAGGAAATCCCTGCAATACAGAGGGTTAGGTAATTTGCTCAAGATCACACAGGACACAGTAGGTGACACCAGGATTTGAGCCCAGGTCTGATTCCAGAACTTATGCCATGCCCACTACACCAGCCGTCCTTATTAAGAGGAAGGCCATTGGTATGAGGCCACTTGAAATAGACATGGTAGATATGTGGCAATCAATGCAAAGGTATTGTCTTTCATGCTCTGTTGCAATCTCATTTCATTTCTAGCATTATAGGTATTTAAAGCAGAGGTAGGCTTGCTTTCTTAGTTTCAGTTTTCTGAGAAACAAAGATAGTAACAACAATGATGATGGATCTTGTTACCATATGTGAATATCTGTGTGTACTAGGCACGGTACTTGGTCTTTACACATGTTCTTCTAGGTTAACCTTATGACAACTCTGTGAAGTTTTCTCAAATTTATATCTGAGAAAGCACTCAGAAAGGTTGAGTCACTTGCTTGCCCACATCACACTACTAGTAAGTGGAGGAGTGAGGATTTGAACCTAAGACCTCTTACAATAAAATTATGTTCTTTCCACTCAGTATATGGGACATGTATCCCTGGGGGCACATGTGAGAACTATAATTGGTCTGTAAGATTATTGATGATGGTATAGGGATAGGGTGTTAAAGAACATTGATGCCCATAGTGAAAAAGTAATTCCCTTTCACTTGTCCTACCAACCATCTGGTTACATGAAAGAGGAAGTCTCAGTTAGGTGCCAGTATGCCTTTTACAATTCTAACAGAGAACAGGGCTCAGACTCTGAGGCTCGGGCAGGTAATTGAATCTAGAAGACCATGGTGACGTTCTTTTTGTTTTTATTGTATTTTAATATCTTCTCATTAAAAAATATTATAATGTGTTCATATATACAAAATAAATGTAATGTATATATAAGGTTAAAAGAATAATATAATGAGTATCCATGTACCTATCACCTATTGAAGCATTAGATTAATTTTAGTTACTATGGGAACCTTCTGTGTCACTCTTCCCATCCCAACTTCTTTCTTTCTCTCCTACCAACATCTTACATAATCACTGTATAACTATCAAAATCAGCCAGTTAACATTCACATAATACTATTACTCAGTCTACAGACTTTTTGCTAGTTTTGCCAGTTGTCATACTGTTTCATTTCCTGGACCAGAATCTAGGATCACACAATACATTTACTAGTCATATCTCCTTTGTCTTTGGAATAGTTCCTCACTCTTTTTGTCTTTCATGACCATGACGTTTTTGGAGTCTGGTTAGGCATTTTGTAGAATGTCCCTCACTTTGGGTTGGTCTGATGTTTCCACAATATTAAATTCAAATTATGTGTTTTTGGCAGGGAAGCTACAGAAATGATGTTGTGCCTTTCACAGTGCATCACAGCAGGAGGCACATGATGCCGATTTATCGTATCACAGGTGATGTGAACTTTGGCCAATTTGTTAAGGTTGTGTCTTCCAGTTTATCCACTGTAAAGTTACTATTTTTCCATTTGTAATTAATGATTACCTTGTAGGGAGATACTTTGAGATTATGTATAATATCATGCTTCTTATACCTTTGTCCACTAATTTTAGCAACTATTGTAAATTCTTGCCTGAAACAATTATTCCTGTGGTTTTTCCATATGGTGTTTTTCTATGATTATAATTCTTTCTATATTTATTAACTGGAATGCTTTGTAGGTGGCTTTATCCTCGCCACACACTTATTTATTCATTCAGTTGTTTATTTGTATCAGTATGTACTTACAAATTCTTATTTTATTGTCTGGATTATAATCCATTAGTATCATTATTTTGTTTTGCAAATAGTCCTTTTAACCAATGGGGATCCCTTCAAATTAGCTTTTCTATCTTTCTGACATGTCTCCATCTTTTTTAAGGCATTTTTGCTTTCTGGTGCCAGAAGATACCACTTTGTGCTTTACTTGCTCCAACCCTGAGAGAAGCCTCCTCTTGCTGTTCTGCATCCATTCCTCTCAGTCACTCCTTCATGCACTATAATATGATTTCCACTCTCCCCAGTGCACTGACACTTCCGTCACTTAGGTCATTGCTAAAGCAGTAGATATTTTAATTCTTCTATTACTGCATATCAGACATCTCTTGGCCCCATATCAGATCTTCTCAGGAGGACAGTAAAGGGAAATTGTACCATCTCTTGTTCCAGCTGCCGTGACCAAGTTTGCATAGACTCTGAAAAACTTCCTACAGTATAAGCTGACAGTACCTCACCTCATGCTGCATGCTTTTCCATAGGGCACCCCACGAGGTTCCATGGGGTTTCCTTGTGGTTGCTACCTCTGGATCTCACTCTGTTCCCACACATGTACAACCTGGATAGAGAATTAATGCCTCCTTTCTCTCTATCGTGGATGGTTCTGAGATACAGTTCATGTGGCTTGGGGTGTGGAGAGGTTGAGGATGATCCTATGGGATAGAGAACGAGTCACTTCTAGTGGGGCCATCTTGATACCACAACTTCATCTTGCCTCCCCCTCCTTATTATTTGTTTTATTCCCTTTGTCTATCAGTCCTCTCCTTCTCCCTAAGATTGCACTACCTGATGCAGTAGAACCCTCTTCCTTGGGTCTGCTGTCTCGGGGACCCAGGAAAAGATGTGCAGTGTTTAAACTCCTTCTCTATAATCTCTTAACTTTCACACTATCACATTTTCATTCATTTATTCCAATTCATTCATTCATTTACACCTTATTTATTGAGACTTTCCCTGTGTGAGACATTGTGTACAGGTAGACAAAAATCTTGATCTTATAGAAGTTATTGTATTTGGGGGAGCAGAAATAACTAAATAAAACCAATTCAGCTGAATTATAAGTGCTTTTAAGAAAATGCAACAGGGAGAGGGCAGAGAGTGGGCCACGTGGGGCCTGGCATTGGGATGGTTACCACATACACTCTGAGGAAATGACATTTGAACTGATAAGGGGTCAGCAAGAAGAAATGGGCTGAGAGAAGACTGATCTATTCACAGGAAAGAGGAAGTGCAAGAGCCCTCATTTTCTGTTTTGCACTAGAACTGCTTTCCTATGATTCTTCAGATTGTGCCACCTTTCTTCCAACTCCCATGCATTTGCACAGATTGTTTCTTTGACCTGGAATGCCCTCTCTGACTTACCAAGCTGGCAGATTTCTATCCTTAGCTCAGATCTCATCTAAAGCAGCTCTCCACCCCCAGGGACATTTTAAGTCCTTTTTCTGTTGTTGGTGTGCTGTGCTTTGAGCACAGTATTCATTTATAATAGTGATGTCAGTGTACGCCTTAGAATTGTTCACCTGCATCTCTCCTTCTTGGACTAGGAGCACTCTGAGGGCAGGACTATGTTTGTTTACTTTGTATTCCCAACAAAGTGCTTATAGGGATTTAAATCTATTTATTGATGAGTTGGATGGATGAATGGATGAGTACATGGGAGAAAGAGGAAAAATGATATATGAATTGAAATAAATAAATGAAAGAGCCAGTGAATAAATGACAGTGACCTGACCTTAAGGCGTTGTCTTGTTTGTGGGTGAGACAGGAGTATAACCATTCAGAGTACTGTGATGAATGCTTAGAGATTCTCAGTGCATGAATAACAGTGGCAGTCAGCAAGTTCTGCTCATAGATGCATATTGTTTCAGCTATTTCATGCTTATTTATTTAGTTTTTAAGAAATTCATTTAGGTACCAAACATAAAAAAAAACCCAGACTTGCAGCTTTCCAGATTTGGGGCCAGACACATGACTGTAATCCCAGCACTTTGAGGGGCCGAGGTGTGCGGATTGCTTGAGGCTAGGAGTTTGAGAGCAGCCTGGGCAACATGGCAAAACCCCGTCTCTACAAAAAATACAATAATTAGCTGGGCGTGGTGGCACATGCCTGTAGTCCCATCTCCTTGGGAGGCTGAGGCATGAGAATTGCTTGAACCTGGGATGTGGAAGTTGTAGCAAGCCGAGATTGCACCACTGTGCTCCAGCCTGGGCAATAGAGTGAGATTTCATCTCAAAAAAACCCAAAAAACAGATTTGGCAGTGCTGGACCCTTCTACATGGAGCTGGGGACAAAAATCTGCTGGAAAGTAGGAAATTATTAGAATAACTAACTGTATTAAAATATGTTGAATTCTTCTTGTCATGACTGTTTTGACATTTGTTTGTACTAGTTAAGGGAAAATGAAACTTCAGGTTGACAGCCTTTACCTTCCTTGTGCCATAATTAATTTGCTCTATTCTGTTTGTTCAGGAAATTCAGCTTTTGAAGGCCCAGAAAGAGGACTAAGGGTGCAGGTGGCAAGGAAAGGTTGATTTGTGGTGACCTGGCATACTGTATTCCATCTTTAAGTCCTCACCACAAGTAGGCCTTTATCCAGGTTCTTGTTACCTGGAAATGTGTGTTCATTTGGGGTATCTAGATGAGGCAGGACTTCAAGGAAGGGGATGGATAATGCACTTAATCTTCATCTTCACATAAGGATAGCTGCTCTTTATCTTCTCCCTCTGGAAGCTGCCATTGTGAGGCAGCATTAAGGTGGGAGAGGACCCTCTGGAGTTCATCCAGAACCCTCTGGGGGCACCTGTGTCCCTTCTGTTTGTCAGTGTATCAGCCATGGATCCTGCGTGAAACAGGTGGCACATTTAAATGGGGTAATCCGAGAAGAGTGGACAAGTGTAGGGAAACCACATGGATAGTGCAAGATGCTTGGCTATCTAAAGTGGGGCTGGTACTCTCTCTGGGCCTAAGGAACAAGGAGAGGGGCTACGAGCAGGCCCTGGGGAGATTGTTTTGTGGAGGTACTTACCTTTGTGACCTTTGGTGGAGAGCTGCAGCCATCCTACACTTTCTCCTAGTCCACTGATATCCCTCTGTGTCCTCCATTAGCTGAACCTGGCTGGAGGCCAGAGGCAGAAGAGCCCTCTGGTGTGCTCCACACCCATCAGCATCCTGGCTTACAAGGCAGGGTGGAGAAAGTTAGAGATTGAATTTGAAGAGCACATGGAAGATGTCTGGGACATCTGGGCATTCTTTCTGTGTGGTTGGTTCTTGTGGTCAGATATTTGTGGAGGAGTGAGGTGGTGGTGGTAGTGGCTGTGCTTTAGAGTCAGTGAGTCTGGGACAGGATCACATCTGCCCCACTCGCTAACGGAGTTACCCTCAGCTCAAGGTCAGCAGGCACCGATTTCTTTGCCGTCTGGTGGGGCCAAGGGCAAATGCCTATCTCAAAAAGCTTTGGGAAGATCAAAAATGAAAATACTTAAGTGTTTTTTTGCAGATTTGGAAAAGGCTGAAAGAAGTTTTATTAAAATGTGAGCAATATACCTCAATAAAGTTGTTTTCCTATATAAGACAAATAAAACTGTGTTGTGATTTCACAACAAGTGTTGATTTTTTTCTTCATTATATTTTTCTGTATTCCAGATTTTCTGTCATCAGAAAACCAGACATCCATAAGTGCTATTTAGAAATATGTTAGTACTGCCTTCAAATTATTACTGTTGGCTAATATTGCCTTCTCTGGGTTACTGAGGTATGTGAATTCACAGCTGCAGCATAGCTGACTTGACTATGGACAGACTAGAGTGAACGTGTATGTCATTTCTTACGATGTGCCCATGGATTCAGGTCTAGTGCCCCATCCCCAGGAAGCCTTTGGCCCTTCAGATGCTTCTCCTCTGAGCTCCTGCAGCTCCTGGGCTGCCCCTAGCAGTTATCACACTGTTTTGCGGTTTTCTCCACCACTAGACTGTGGTCTCCTCTAGGTCCAGGACTGAATTTTATTCATCTCCAGGTCAGTGTCTAGCATTGTCTTGTAAATGCTGTCTTTATTCATGTTGCCCAGCTTCTACCACACGGCTACTGGAAGTTCTCAAGCTCATAACACCGTAGCTTCTACAACAGAGAGCAACTGACTGTGCTTTCTCCTTTCTGTTTTCAAAGCCCTGGGAAAGAATTCTGATTAGTTTCATTTGGGTCAAGTGTACCTACATCCCTTATTGAACCAACTATACCCATGGAGAGGTATATTACAGTGATCTCAGCTTTGGTCAAGTGCTCATTCCCAGAGGAATCTGTTGTGTGGCCAATAGGGTAGGATCTGTACAACTATGACAGGTCTTATTTAAATCAATTAGTTACAGTGGAGAAGAGAATGAATCAGTTAGGAATGCTTTCAGCTGCAGTGACAATGCAAAAAAGCTTTTATTTAAATCAGTTAGTTGCAGTGGGGAAGAAGCATGTATCAGGAATGCATTTGCAAGGGAGCAAAAATTGGTTCTTGGGGGATGAAAAAGATCTTAGATATTACAATCATTTGTGGCCTTCTAAAGCCCATCCTTATGTAACAGCATAAGTAGATACACAATCTGTCTGTGGTATTGAAATTTCACAGTGGCAGGGAAAAGGAAAAGACTGTCTGGAAAGGGTCTTTAGTGGGGGCGATAGTGAAAAAAAAGTTTGAGAGTGATTTATGATGACAATAATCATACCTAACTTATTTAGTAGTTATGCACCAGGAACTGTTATGAATGCCTTACATATACTATATTAAATCATTTCACCATATATCCATTTGACAGTGACCAAAACACAAATAGTCTTGATTTCCCACTCTCACACCCCTAAATTACAAGTACAAAGATGATTTGACCATGTCACCTTCAGCATATCTTTAATTCTTTGGACTTTTCCCTCATGCTAGCTGCCTCATGGTTGTAGGATAGTTGCTGCATCTCTGGACGTTACATTCTCCTTTGATGCTGGAAGAATTGGTGAGAAGAGCATGATGAGATTTTTTGTTTTGTTTTTTAAATGAGAGGAGCAAAACCTTTCCCAGGAATCTTCTCTTCCTACTATACTTCTGCTTAGGTCTTATTGGCTGGAATTAAGTCCCATGGCCACTCTTAGCAGCAAGAAGCAGGGAAAGTGGAAAACAAGATTATCATGGTTGGCTTAAACCTGCACATTCCAATATGATAGTTACTAGCTATATGGCTATTTAAATTTTTTTAGAGAGATATAATTCATATACCCTAAAATTCACCATTTTATGTATACAGTATAGTATTTCTAGTATATTCACAGGATTATGCAACCATACCCCAGTATCCGATTCCAAAACATTTTCTTCGCCCTCAAAAGAAATCTCATATCCGTAGCAGTAAGTCCTCATATCCCTCTACACCTAGCCATTGGCAACCACTAGCCTACTTTCTTTCTCTATGGATTTTCCTGGACATTTTGTTTGGCTTCTTTCACTTGGCATAATTTTTTCAGGGTTCATCTATGTTGTAGTATGTGCCAGTAATTTTTTTATCAGTTCCTGTTTTAATTGATAATACTCTGTTGCATGGATGTATCCTATTTTGTTTATCCATTCATCTGTTGATGGACATTTAGATTGTTTCACTTTTTAGTTACTGTGACTAATGCTGCTGTGAACACTGATTGATGTACAAGTTTTTATATCAACATAGTTTTGATTTTTCTTTGAATTCTCTTGAGCCTATTAGAAGGAGTGGAATTGTTGGGTTTTATGGTAACACCATGTTTAACCCTTTGAGGAAATGTCAAACTGTTTTCCAAAGTGGCTACACATTTTGTACATCCTGGTAGGAACATGTAAGGATTCCAATTTCTCCACATCCTTGTGAGCACTTGTTATTTTTTGTTTGTTTTTATTATAACCATCTTAGTGGGTGTGAAGTGGTATCTCATTGTGGTTTTGGTTTGCCTTTATGTAATGACTACTAATGTTGAGAATATTTAATGTGCCTATTTTCCATTTGTATATATTCTTTGCAGAAATGTCTGTTCAGATCATATGCCCATTATAAAATTGGATTGTCTTTTTATTGTTGAATTATAATAGGTACTTAAATTTAAATTAATTAACTTTAAGTAAAATAGAAAACTTAGTTCCTCAGTCATACTGGCCACATTTCAAGTGCTCAGTTGCTGTGTGTGGATAGTGGCTATGTTATTGGACAGTTGCAGATAAAGATAATTTACATGATTGCAGAAACTTCTGTTGGACAGCACTGGCTTAGAACCACCATGATTGATCACTTATAGCTGGGCATATGACTTCTCTAAATAAAATTGAGGTTTTGTTAAGCTAAGGAAGGATTGGTACTCCAGAAAGAGTGAGGTGTCCTGGTCCCAGAAAAGGAGGTTATGCAGACTCAGTGTATAACTCCTAAAGATGCATCAGAGTTTACCAAGGGAAGAACTGGGGCAGGGGTTGAGTGGGAGGGCAAAATTCTAGACCAGGGCTTGGCAGATGTCTTTTGCAAAGGGTCAGATAGTAAATATTTTGGCTTTGCTGACTATATGATATCTGTTTCAACTATTGAACTGTAACCAAAAAGTGTCTGAGACAGATTTCAATCGATTTAGAGAGGTTTATTTTGCCAAGGTTGAGGAAGCACCCGAGAAAATAAACACAAGTTACGTTAGGATCTGTGACTGGTGTTTTGTCCAAAGAGGATTGTGAGGACTTCAGGATTTAAAAGGGAAAGAGTGAGCAGGAAGGGAAGGAGGAAAGAAAAAAAAAAGTTTGAGGGGCATAGGCGATGAGGCAAGTGGTTACATTCTTGTGAGGCTTTGATTAGTGCTCACCAAATCCACAGTTTACATGTGAAAAGAGGAGTGGGGGAAAGTCATTTATGCTCAGTAAATCTACATTTTACGTAAGATAAAGGAAGCATGTGAAGTTACAGCAACCCATTTGAGAACAAAAGGATGGCAGTTTTTTGATTTTTTCTTTTTTTGTGTGTGTGTGTGTGACTCAGTTCCCAAGCTTAACTTTTCTCTTTAACATAGTGAGTTTGGGGTCCAAAGATTTTATTTTCCTTTCACACAACTTTGTCCTTATAGTGAAAAAGCAGCCTAAGACAGGCCATAAATGAATGGACATGGCTGTGTTCTAATGGAACTTTATTTACAAAAACTGGCAGCAGGCACATTTGGGCTACAGGCCAGGGTTTCCTAGGGACAATACATAGAAAAGTATGGAAGCCAGAAGGGGCCTGGCATACTGAAATAAAGAGAATGGTAAGACGTTTGGTATGGCTGAAAACTGGCTGTAGGAGCTATGGCTGTAGAGAAGGCTAGGAATAGAGACTGGAACCAGATTATAAAGGGTCCGCAATGCATATCAATGTTGTTTTGTTCTGGTTGGTGGTGGTGGTTGTGGTGCTAGTGGCAGTGGTGGTTTTCTAAAATCCTCTAAGTGGCAAGAAGCCGTCAAATATTTTTAAGTAGGACATTATATGATTATGGCTTTTTAGACAACCCTCTGGCAGCATTGTGAAAAGAATATTGGAGGAAATGAGGCTAGAGGTAAAAAAATACCAGTTAAGCTTTGTATTTTGTATTAAAATAAAGATCTGGTAATTATCTTGCTAATTGCATCAGTAGAGACATAGACCACCAAGCTGATAATTCTTATCCTGACTAACCTACTCACTATGAGCTGAGTAAAAAGCAGTATTGATTTAAATGAGTTATGAAGAGTGGGGCTTGGATATGCTCTTTTTATATCCCAGGGGAATCACCCTGGAAACCTAGAGAACTGGTTCCAAGTATTCATCTGAGAACATCTGTGACTCTCAGAAAGTTATGAGATTGGAGTTGTACGGGGAAACTCGCTGTGGCCTTGGAAGAGTTGACTTCTAAATGGGGTAGTGAACTTATTCTCCGTGGCTCAGTTCTAAAAGGCCCTAAGAGGAGAAAAGGATTCTTGATGAACTACTAATTGATGATTTTAGGTCCAGAGTTAAGCATAATATGGAGGTTTGCCTGAGAGTGTCTGCCGTCAGTGAAGATGAATTATCCATGTGGGCTTAGAAAATCACACATGCAAATTATGTGTCAATGGATTTTTTTTTCAACATGCTAATCCTAGCCTTTGAGTACACAGCATATTTTCAAAGCCAATTTTGCAAACAACTCTATGGTAAATGCTGCTAAGCTGTTGATAAGTTGGCTTTCCATTTGTAAGCCTATTAGTTCAGAATCTTCTGAAGTTTAATTCAAAATGAGATAATGTGTAGTGATTTGACAGTTTTCATTCTGTGACGATGCTCTTCAAGAAAGCATCTTGGCTTGTTCACTAGTTGAATCCTCACCAGTTCCTGAAATTATGAAATGTAAATTTGTTATAAGCAGCCGCTTTGGGCCCTTCACAAGGCAGAATTGTACCTTATCCCTGAGTGGAAATAAATGAACATCTCATGTGTGTAGCTTCTCTCTCTCTGTACATCCTGACTCCAAATGCTGTGAGGCACCAGAAAATGTCTCCTGAATCTGATTTTGGGTGGCTGGATCAATGTCCAGAGGGAATTAGGAATTTTTCCAATGGTGGTACAGATAGAGGTGATAACATTAGAAAAGACTGACCCTTGACAAGACCCACATTAGTGAAGTCGTTATTCCCAAGGAGTTGGGTATGTACTTCCCACGTGTTGTGAAAACAGGGCTCTATTACCTTGCCAGCAATACCCCAAAGGCAGAGGCTGTATTTGTCCTTGGATCTCAGTCTTTGACATTGTTTTGGGAAGGTATGATGAGAGGCATGAGGAAACCTCATCCATTTTGTGAGTCCAGTGTACTTAAACGGTAGAGACTGACTCCAGGGCATTTGGAGTTCACAGAATTTGTCAAATTATTTTTCAAGCTTGTAGGGTTCAAGACTTCCCCAAATGTATTTTTCCAAGTGCTTGTACCCTGGTGTCCATTAAGGGAAATGTACTCCATATGTTTCTAATTCTTCTACCCTGAAATGATCAAAATATTATATTGCTGAGATCTCTGAAGACTAGAAAGATCCTTTTCAATTTTTTTTTTCTCTTTGATGACACTAACAGAAATGGGTGATCCCAGTAATCACAAAGAGGCTCAAATTCACTCCCAAATGCCCGGCCACCAAGAAGCTTTGGACATAAGTATTTTTTGGGGGTATTTGTGCCAACTGCTGTTTTAGGACATGTTTCTGATAATGCTTTACACTTACCAGAAAAGCTGTTTTTGAAAAATCCAGTGTTGTCTTACAATCATTAATTTAAAAAAAAAAAGTTTCCCAAGTATTTTCTTAGAGCAAGGAGATCTCTTTCTGATGAAGAATACACTCTAGCCTAAAAAGCCACTTAGGTGGACCAGTTTCTTTGATTAACAAAAGTTACAAAGGGGAAAAGAAGAGTGTTAGAGAGGATACCTGTAACAAAAAGAGACAGGAGACATATGGAACACTCGTGGTGTGTCACCCTTATTTGAACCCTCATTCAAACAACAACTGTTAAGAAAAGTAAAACATAGGAGGCATATATCAATACAGAATGGCTATATGATGATATTAAGGAATTATTCTTTTTAATTATGATATTGATAATTAGCTATTTTTTGAAAGATACCTCCTTTTATAGATACATGCTGAAATATTTACAGAAAAATTTTTTAAAAGCCTGGAATTTGTTTAAAAAGAATCAGGGTGTGGTATAGTTAAAACTCCTCCCTCCCTCCATCTCTCCCTCTCCCCCTCTCTCCCTCTCCCCCTCTCTCCCTCTCTCCTTTTCTCCTTCCCTCACTCCCTTTTCTTCTTTTTTCCCTCCCCTCCTCCTTCCCCTCCTTTCTCCCCCACTGCCCCAGCTTCTCTTCCCTTCTGTTCTCTTTTTCTGGCCTTCATTTGGGCTGACAAGAAGAGGATGCATGTTTTATATCAGGTTGGCAGGTATACTTGAGATATATTGTCTTGGCAATACAAAGGCCTGACACTTCCTAGGGACCCAGATGGGTATTGTAGATGTTTAGGGCATGCCTTGACCTCTGAGTAGCCTTCTTGGGCTTGAGGTCTCATTTGACTAGACTACCACTCCACAGTCAGCCACTGTGGTCTGTTTTTTAAAAACGTTGCCATGATGAGAATGTGAAGGATTTGGGTTGAAGTTAAGGACACTTCCTTTTTATTATTAGTCTGGAGTTTTAAAGGAGATACCTGGGATCCCACCCTTACTTTGTTACTTTGATTTGGAGTCAGCCCTTGGCTTTGAGAGTGTGCTGTGATATTGGTCTGATTTAATCATTGCCTATGTAGAAAAAGAGATTAGATCACTGGATCCCAAACTAGCCTCAGAAAGTAAGTCATTGATGGCAAGAATCACCTGGAGAGATTTTCAGTTTAATTCTTAAAAAATTTAGTGACGATACTTGGATAACCCTCTGGGAATTCTGATTCAGTAGTCCTGGGTAGAAATAGAATCTAAATATCTGTAATTTTATCAGGTTTCTACACGATTCTCATGTTCCAATAGTTTGGTGATTTACCAGGTTCAATGCCTTTTAATAGATTCAGTTGCTCAGGAGCAGATTGAGGTTGTATTTCCATATAGTCCTACCTTGTAAAAAATGGATGTGTCAAGTTTTTTGTTGGTGTTATTGTTTTTAATTGTTATTTTGACTTGCTGGGCTGGGCGTGGTGATTCACGCCAGTAGTCCCAGCAACTTTGGGAGGCTGAATTGGGTGGATTGCTTGAGCCCAGGAGTTTGAGACCAGCCTGGGCAACATGGAAAAACCGATCTGTACTAAAAAACTGGAAAATTAGCCAGGTGAGGTAGTGCGTGCCTTTAGTCCCAGCTACTCAGGAGGCTGAGGTAGGAGGACTGCTTGAGCCCAGGAGGTTGAGGCTGCAGTGAGCTGTGATCATGCGCTGCACTCCGATTTGGGTGACAGCGAGACCCTGTCTCAAAGGAAAAAAAAAAAAAAGGTTACTTGCTTATGAATAAGACCTTCCATATAGCAGTTATTATATAAGCACTAGGTAAATATTAATAAATGGCAAATACTAAAAGGAAAGACAGGAAAAGGAAAGGCAACTGATATTTATTGAAGGCCTACTATTATAGTAAACTTGACTCATAATTTATATTTTCTTCTTTAATTTTAACCTTGGCATGCAATGATTATTACCCAATTTTGTATTCAGTAAAATTAAAGCCCAGAGAAGTTTAGTATTTTTCCTAGAGTCACATAGTAAACACGTGGCAGCAGGGGTGTTTGGATACTATTGTGCCAGGCAGCCTTTCCGAACACTCCAGCCTATTTCTCAATTCTTTCTTGGCTCCAGAGGATTGTGTAGCAGGAGGGGAAATCTGTTCAGAGATCAGGAAACTGGACCAATTGGGCAAGCTGCCAGAGCTTCCTTTACTGGATTGTACCAGCAAGTTTGTTTTTCTCTGTCCAATACTGGGTAAAGGTCCCACCGAAAGCCTTTGTCTCTGCTCAGAATGCCTGGTATGATCTCTGGGAAACTATTTGGCAAAGGAGTGTGGCAGCTGAAGCACAGAAGCCTCTCCTAGGTGGTTCACCCATATCTGATTTTTTTTTCTTTGGCACCTTGTAACAGACCTGAGAATGTTGAAATTTTGTGCCAACGTGGACACCATTCAGCATGTCAGATTTCTCTGATACCGTGAAGATCAATATGTTGGATGCAAAGGAAAAGTCCCAGCAATAGATTCCAGCCCTCACTGCCACTTACCTGGTATATTACAACAGCCTCCATACTGGTCTTCCTATCTGCAGCCTGTCCTCTGCTTTCCGGCCCACTTTTCTCAGGGGGATCCTCTTTCAAATAAAGGTCTGATTATGTTCCTCCAATATTAAACCCCTTCAGTGACTCCCCAGTTCTTGAGGAAAAAATGCTGAGTCTCTGAGCATAGCACTGAATACCCTTCCTGGTCTGGCCCTGTTTCTCCGCATGCTTCTCCCACTCCACCCAGCTTCTGGCAGGTCATACTACCGTGGCTCACCAAAGATGCCTTGGAAACCAGGTACTTTCATGTCTCTGTTTCTCCAGCTGGAGTTTCGTTCCTTCTTTGACCTGCCTGGCAAACTCCTATGCATTCTTTGATTCCTACTCCTTCATGAAGCCTTTCAGCAGTTTCTTTCTTAGCACAACTCTACCACCTTGTCTCACCTGTTCACAGACATCTGCCTGCCTCCCTCTCTAGGCTATGGTGCCCTCCAAGGGGAGGCAAGGTGTTGTTTTCAAATCATTCACAGTACTTACTACATAGGCCACTTACAGTCAGTGTGTAATAACTGAAGGAGGACTTGAGTGAATAGGCAAATAAAGATGGTTACCATGATAGGCCGAGATCTGAAAAGAAGCTAATAATCAATGCATGAAGATGTGTGAGGAACTTGTGTGTCTTCAGTACCATTCTAAATACCATACAAATACAGGTGCCGCCAGAGTGCTTGCACATGGCAGCTTCACAGCCCATTTGAGAAGTAGAATTAATACATGTGAAGAATGAGGCCGGGCACTGTGGCTCACGCCTGTAATCCCAGCACTCTGGGAGGCCGAGGCAGGCGAATCATGAGGTCAAGAGATTGAAACTGTCCTGCTCAACATGGTGAAACCCCGTCTCTATTAAAAATACAAAAATTAGCTGGACGTGGTGGCACACGCCTGTAATTCCAGCTACTCGGGAAGCTGAGGCAGGAGAATCGCTTGAACCCGAGAGGCAGAGGTTGCAGTGAGCCAAAATCGCGCCACTGCACTCCAGCCTGGCGACAGAGTGAGACTCTGTCTCTTAAAAAATAAATAAATAAAATAAAAGAATGAGTAAGAAAACCAAGAAAATATGCAATTTAGTTCAGCTTGTTTGGTGCTGGTAATACTTTATTTTTCATGTGTCGATTTTTGATCTCCACCTTGCACTGTGAGCTCCCTGAGGACAGGGACTTTGTCTTGGCAATTATGTCTTCACACTTGGCATACAGTCAGTTTTCAAGATATGTTTGTTCAATGAATAAATGGATGGTAGGCACCATTCAGTGCTGTTTAGGGTCAAAGGAAGGCATGATTTGTGTGGGTTGAAGTGGTCAAGGAGGGCTTCACACATAAGCCAGTTATGAAGGATATAGGCATTGAAGAAGCACTAAAACTGGTTGTGAGCTTTACTCTTCAGAGAGTCACAGTTTTAGAAAAGCTCTTGCTCTATTGGAAAGAATATGGGTTTTAGACCAAATACATCTAGAATCAAATTTGGACTCTTTCCCTTATCTGCTATGTGATCTTGAGATCTCTGAGTTTCAGTTTCCTTGCCCATAAAATGAAATCAATATTACTTCCCTTAGAATATGCTTGTGAGCCGTAAAAGCGATATCATATATAAAGCATGTAGCATAATGCCTAGCGTACATTAGGCTCTCAATAAATGGTAAGTAAAAGCTGATATATAGGTATAGTGTGTCTGAAATACCTGGGAAACATGGATTATTTGGATGACGTAGTAACATTTGATTAAATTTGCATGATTATTATATTGGCACATAACAATTAGAATTATAATAGATTCCAGTATTTTTATGGCCTTTTAAGTGTGTTTTGGGGATTTCTATCACATTTCTTTACTTTTTTAACATTGGAAAATTGGAAATGGATATTTGCCCCCAAATTGTCTGATATATAGATCTCGCCCTTCCCATTACACTTGTGAAGGGAAGGCTTTTCTGGCAGGAGGAGCATAATGCGTAGAGGAGGGAAAGGGAAATGAGCTTTCCATTTTGGGAGAAAAATTAGAGCTACTCTTCCAGTGACAAACCGCATTGCCTGGCTTTCCTTCTGCAGGCTCTGCCTCATGCCTGTGTTCCTATAGACATTGGAGTTAAAGCTCTCATTCATGGTCATGATTCTCGCCTCTGTCTAATTCTTTTACTTTGTCGTGTACCATCTCTCCTTTTCCCACTGTTTTTTCCAGCCACCTCTGTTTCTTTTGGTTTCCTTGAGCATGTCAAGTTCTTTTCTGGCCTATGTTCTTTGAATTTACTGTTCCCTTTGACAGACATTCTTTTCCTCTGGCTCTTTTCATTTTTCAGAAAATCAGCTGACTCCTTACCCTGTGGTGGTATTGGAGCCAAATAATGGAATTGATTTTTCAGTGTTTATTCCACATAATTCCAAGGAATATGATTTTAAGAGTGTTCACAATTCATATTTTTTTTTAATTTTTGAAATTGAATAAGTTTCAAATACGAAAATTTAGGAACATGATACAAAACTTTTCTCTGTGCACCACTGGAGTACTGCTTTTGAAATCAATTCTCTCTGTCCTGGATTACCCTTAGAGCTCCTGTCTCCTGCATGGAGGAGGGTGGAGGGCATTTAACATGTCCATCTCTCACCCCATTCTACCTGAGCTTCCAGCACCACCACCTCTGGGCAGTTCCGCTTTTAGTCAGCAGCTCCCAGTTCCCATAATTTTGACTTCTGTCCTTGCTAGTCCAGAAGAAATGGCTCTTCTGGGATTGAATTCCTCCCTTTCCCCAGCAGAAATGGATTGGGGCAGAGGAATTGCGGAGCTCCATGGCATAGAGGGTCCTGGAAGGCTTGTCATTAGGGTATCCAGGGTGGGAAGGGGAGTGAAGGGAGGGGAAGGAGGAAGGAATTGAGTTGGGAAGAGTCAAGGAGGATGAATGAAGTTGCTGACTGATGTCTGGAATAACATTATTTCACCCTCAAAAATACCAGTAATTCAGGACTGAAAAATAAATTTCACAATATGTTTTAATTTCAAAAAGTGATAGTGTATTTGACATTCTTATCCAGCCTGGTCTCACCTCAGGAGTTCCCCCATTGGAGAGGCCATCCCTGAATTTCTAACTCACAGGCCTCCCCTACGTTAATATATTTATGTCCTCCTGGCCCTTGTTTACTTTTTACTTGTTTACTTTTGCTTTTGTTTACTTGTTTACTTTTGCTCCATGAAGTCAGGGACCTGCCTGCTTGCTCCGCAATCCCTAGAACTGTGTCTAGAACCTTAGTTGGTTGCAGTAAATATTTGTTGAATGGATGGATGAGATGGTTGTAGCAATCTAAGTTGCTTTGGATGAGATTAACACTGAAAAAAAAAAAAAAACTGGTTGCCTGCAATTCTGTCAGCCAGTCCAGGCAATGCTAATACAGCTTTGATTATTATGATCATGATTATTATTTTGTTTTGAAACCTTTTTCAGAGGCCAAGCATGCTGGGGACTTGAGGGACATAAAAATCTTTCAACTGATTATGCCACCTGCAAACAGGATAAGCCTGACTTTCTACCTCACCCACCTCTTGCTATCACAGATATGAATCAACGAACACACAAAAAAGGTTTTCAATTCTCCCTTTGGAAAGAGGGCACATTTAATATTCTGAGTCAGGCAAGGAAAGACTCTAGCCACAAAGACAGCTGGGAACTCAGGTCCATAGCAGGCACCCAGGACGGAGGTGAAGAGAAGGCGCCTCCCTGTCTGGTGACAGCAGCTGGGGCCCTTGCTGCCTCCCTCCCCACAAAAATCCAGTTGGGACCAGTGCATGCTGGGAATCTGCCTGCCTGACAGAAACAGATGGCCTCAGGTGGTGACTGATCTCTTGGTGACACTAACTGCATAGCTGCTGCTTTACTCATGACCGAATGAGACACGAGATGGCGGAGGTAAGAGTTGGTTACCTTGCCGTCTCCTCCTCAGCTGAAATGACTCACATTGCTGTAGCTTAAATTTCAGTCCAGGCTCTCTGGACTCGGGGAATTTCTTTTTGCTCATGCTCCTGAGAACCAGAGTTCTCCAGGAACATCTGTAGTCTCTGTCTTCAATCAAAGCATTTGAGAGATGCTTTATTTTTCCCCTTTCCTCTGTACCTGTCACAGAAGGGGGCCTGTCTGAATAAGATGGCACATAATCTGCTGAGTGCAGCAACCCCTCTGTGCAGCCTTGAGGAAGAAGACAAGGCAGTCAAAGTACCTTCCATCATTTCCTGGAAAATGTGTCGGTAGCTTGGAGAGGCAGAGTGGGAGATGGAAGTAACACTGCATGAGGAGTTAGGTGGTCTATGTTCAGGGGCCAGGGTTGTCACTTACTAGATAGGGGACCTTTAGCCAGTCACTTAACTCCAATGGCCTTCTGCTTCATATCATCTCTTATGTAGGGTGGTGGGACTGGATTAAGGACAGCAGATAGATTAGCTGTCAGTCTTACTGATTGGAAGTTGCTGTCCAGAGTACAGTATGGGGGATGGCTGGGAAGCCCATCTCAGCTAAGTGAGAAAGAGCAGTCAACTATTGGTATTTGCCAAGTGTGTGACAGTGGCACATCTGCCTGCTATTATGAGACTTGATGGTCATTTCTGCCTCTGTGGTTTTATGATTCCAAGTGTCCTGCAAGTGATTCTAGAGGGATCATGAAACATTTTCTGGTCTTAATAATTACTCAGGGATCTATTAACAATGGTGAGGAACATACTCACAACCAGACTTTCATTGAGAGTTTACCATATGTATATTATATCACTTAACCCTCATCCTTACGGATAGGGAGGCTCAGGCTCATAGTGATTAAATGACTTGCCAAGGTCACTCAGCTAATAGGTGATGGAGCTGGAATTCAAACTCTGGTCTGTCTGCCTCCAGAACCGAAGCGCTGAACTGCCACCCTATACTACTTCCCAGTTGGAGAATACCTCAGTACAGTAATTAGATGCCAGTGTGTATGGCTTTGCCTATCAGTACACAGAAATCAGAAAGGTGATTGAGAGATTCATTAATGCCTCCTTGCCCAGTTCTTTTGAGCATATCTTATTTGAGAAAGGTGCACGTGACCTTGGGTCAGTTTGTCTAACTCTGTCAGTCTCAGTTATCTTATTTGAGAAATGGGGCTATAGCTTTTAAGTTAATAATCCAGATAAAACATCCTATAGTGCCCCAGATGTCAGTAGCACTCAGTACATGTTCATATTATGTTGCCCCAAGGTCACGTGGCTGGGAATTGAGCTGAGGACTGCCCACCTCCGAAGTCTATGATGGCACCTTTTGGTTTTGGTACAAGTGAGTCCTGAGTGGACCACATGGCAGCATTAGAGGTGCTTTTGAATACGAAAGGTGGCGTGAGGATCCCTCTCACTTATGTCTGTTCTGTTGTCCAGAACTTAGTGAAAATCCTGGTCCTTACCCGCTAGAGTGAAAAAGGAAGGAAACCTTACCATTCTTTCTGTGTACCTTTCTCTGGCTGGGGCTTTCTCTGGTCTAGGTGTGCTCAGCAAATATGACAAGTAGCAGGCCACTCATTTTGACCACGCCCATGTGGCAGACAGCTTTCTTCACTTTCACGCAAATGAAGTACAAGACAATCACATGTATGGCTGCACTGAATGTAAAAGATTAAAGAGAAGTGATATGCCAAATAGATGACTGGGAGTTGACGTTTAGCAAAGTAAATCTCTTGGTGGCCCTGGTAAAGTTAATTTCAATAATTCTGGTTTTTTTTTTCATCTTAGAAACTTAGAGGTTAAAAAATAATAAATATACATGAGGAGATTTAGAGTGTATGTGGAAACAGAGATCTTCGGAGGACAAGTGGGATATTTCTTTATAGAAAGAGTTTTCCCTCTTGATTTTTTTGCTTGGTAAGTTTCTTTCAAATCAACTCAATTCATTTGGTGCTATTGCTTTTCTTTTGTGAAAACGATTCTGGGGATTTGATCAAAACCGACATGAAAATACAACCCTCAAATGGTAAATATCAGGGAATCTGGAATTTGCATTTTCTAGGCTAAAGTAATTTACTGGCCAAGTTTGCTGTCTCCTCACTCCCCCAACACATGTACAACTCTTAAATCTCATTCCCCTTTAGGCTCCTTCTCTCTCAGTTTATTTCCAGCACACATGCATATGCATCCATGCATACACAGGTGTGCACATATGCATGTATACACACACACAGACACACGACACACACGTGACGCACATATTTTACTCTGTGCTAATAAATAGGCCAGTATTGGCTAGGCTGGGCCTCAGGACTGTCTGGTTTAAATCTAAGCTGCCTGGGAGATCTGGAGTAATAAGTGAGTGACAACAGGTGCAGATTTTGTTACACCCTTCTGAACTCAGCCCATAGTTCTTTCTTTGATTCTTTTCACCCAACACCCTTGCTTCAATTGTGTCCAATAAATTTTATAGCTGCATGATCCTGTTTCAGAGCTGAAGGGAGATTTTTCCCTCCACTTGGCTAAATGGTGCCTAAGTCAAAACACCACTTCCTGCCCCCTCCTCACACTTTAAGAAGTAATAAGGAATAAACCCCAGGCCATAAGCTGTTGCTGGGTCCTGTATCTTCAGTTTTGCATGTGAAGAGCTAATTTTCTGGTCCCATTTTAGAAAAGCCAAGAATTAACTTGCAGAGAATTAGCCATAATTGGGGAGAAAATAATTACTTGGCTTTTTCTGCCCTGTGATAACTGGAGCCACTGGCAAATCTTTCACAGCAGTGTCAACGCCTACTTCTGTTTAAAACAAAGTATTGCACCAGGGGCCTTGAAAGTCACATCTGAATGTTCTCTGTGGTACATTTTGGTCCAAACCACCCTGAATATTGGAGTTGGATTCATTTCATGTCTTTTTTGGTGTAAAATCCCGGTGCAGGGAGACATTTCATATTACACTGGAAGACATGAATGTCTTTTGCAGGTGTCAGGTATGCTCATGGGCCCTGCATGCATACTTAAGGTTGGGTCCAATTGGATTTTTTTAGGAGCAGTCTGTGGTCTAAGCTGAGAATTTTTTCTCATAAGGGCCCATTTTCCTCTAGCATTTTTCTGTTTTGAGACTTTGCCCAGCTGCCTCTATTCCCTAGTATGTAGACTTAATAAAAAATCTCTTGGTTCATAATAAACATGGAAAGGAGATGGTACACGTTTTCCATTTGCTAGTAGAGGTTTACCTGAATACAGTTGGTCATATATCTCAGTGTCGTCAGAGTACAACAAAATGTCATGCCTTCCCATGATTTCAGACACCACTCTTCAGTAATGACTTATCTGAATATCAGCCCTGTACCTCTCCTGAGCTCCAGCCTTAAGGGCACACTTTTCATTGGGTAGCCCTACCTGCTGACCCATAGACACCCTAGGCTCAACTCATTTTCCCTAAATAAATTTGCTTTTCTTTCTGTGTTTTCTATCATGGTAAAGGTGCTGTGATCCAATAACTCAAACAAGAAACCTTGATGGCATGCCTTCCATATCCATTACTGTTAGCTAAGTGGGGGACAATCTATATATTGCCTCAGATATCACTGGGATCCATTGCCCTCCTAACTAGGCTCCCTGGGTCCAGTCATCTTTGCCTTTCCTCCAACTTCTCCCCCATGTCACCTACCTCCTCTTTTCTCTACCCCCACCAAAACAGTACTTCATACATCCCTAGTATTGTCTTTAAATGTAAATCTGATATTATTTAACTATTTGAATTCTTTAGTAACATCCCACTGCTGGCAGGAAACAAGTCCTAACTTCCTAGTATAAGGAATATAAGGTCCAATGTGATCCAGCTGCTCCCTGACTCTCCAGTCTTACCTCCTGTCACACTACCATGGATCAAGCCCCATGGTTCCCTTTATTCTCTTTCAACTCTGTATTTTCGCATATGTGACTTTCTTCTGCTAGTAATGCCCTTTCTTAATTGGCCTGTACCTTTGACTCCTACACTTCTGTATTATTAGGCTATAGCACTAGATGTGGCTTAAATAAGTTAGATTATTTGTTTATCTGATAGTCCGGACGTAGATGCTTTCCATGAGATCATCCAGGAACCCAGGTAGCTTCTGCATTGGACTGTGCTTAACATGATGCCCCTTTCTGCATGATCCAAAGTGGCTTTCAACCACAGCTTCCTTCAAGGCAGCAAGATGGAGAATAGATGAAGAAGGAACACACCTTCTCCCTTTTGGTGCTGTGACTAATAAGAAATATATTTTTAGTTTCTGTTCCAGGTTTGTGACACAGAGCTCCTAAAAGCCTTGTAATTTCCAGAGTGATCAACATTCTAGGAGTATCTTTTGTTGTACTATTTAGACTTTGACTCTGG
This sequence comes from Homo sapiens, assembly GCF_000001405.40. Lineage (NCBI taxonomy): Eukaryota > Metazoa > Chordata > Mammalia > Primates > Hominidae > Homo > Homo sapiens. The sequence goes on from NC_000001.11 coordinate 59,431,858, forward strand.
TTCCTAACAGAGCTTCTAAATCCCTTGGGGTTTCCTAAGCGATAGAGCATCTTTTGCTTTAATGAGGCGACTCTTGGGCTCCTGGATAACTTCAGAATGGGAGTTGGTCAGAATGGGACTTGGTCACTAGAAAGACCATGTGATGGATAGCAGCTCAGAATTTTCAGCCCTACTCCCCACATCCACCCAATCCACCAGGAGGGGAGAGAGGCTGGAGATTGAGTTAATAAGCAATCATGCCTGTGTGATGAATCATCCCTAAAAATCCCTGAAAGATGGGGTTTGGAGAGCTCCCGGGTTGGTGAACAAGTGGAGGTGCCTGGAGAGGGCATGAAAGCTCCCCACCCCTTCCCACATACCTTGCCCTATGTACCTCTTTGTCTGGCTGTTCATTTGTATTTGTATTCTTTATAATAAGCCAGTAAATTTAAGTAGAGTGTTTCCCTGAGTTTTGTGAGCCATTATAGCAAATTATCAAACCTGAAAAAAGGGGGTTATGGGAACCTCCAGTATGTAGCTGATCAGTCAGAAGTATGGAAGGCCTAGACTTTTGATTGGCATCTGAAATGGGAGCAGTCTTGGATTGAAGCCTTAACCTGTGTGATCTGCCCTTACTCCAGGTAGTTAGTTTAGAATTGAATTGTGGGACACCTGGTTGGTTTCTGAAGAGTTAGAGTATTGGTTAGTGTGGGAAAATCCCTCACACACGTGATGTAAAAATTGTCATGAGTATGCAGAAAAAAGTTTTTCCCCTTTAGTGGCAGTTTCCAGAGTTTGTAAATATCTCTGCTTCCCAATCTTTTGTGCCTCCTGTCTGTCTGGTACTCCACCTCTGTAGTAATGGCAGCAGCAGCAATTCTAGTAGTAGTCACAGTGGTGTTTCTCTAGTAGAAGCTGTAATAGTAGTAGGAAGAAGAGGTGTAGGAGTAGTATCAGTATCATAATTTCCCATTCCTAGTTTCAGAAGAGATTGAAAGGCTAAGTGACATGCCTGAGGTCACATAGTTAATAAGTAAACGGCAAAGCTATCGTTCTGACTGGGAGCTCTCTTACTTCAGAGCTCACCACTAGACTGTGGGTAGTTTTCAATCCAGTCACACTAAATGCCAGTTATTTCCTTACATGATTACCTCTCCCACAAGATTCAGAACTTCTTGAGGAAAAGGACATATCCAACTGACCTTTGTATCTGTAGAGCCTAGCTCCAAGGCTGGGCGTATCCATCAGTTTTAGACATTGAAATCAGGGTTTCTTAACCTTGGCACCATTGACATTTTGGGCCAGATAATTCTTTGTTGTGGGGCTGTCCCATTGTGCATGACAGGATGTGTGGCACCATCCCTGACTTCTACCCACTAGTTGCCAGTAGCACATATCCCCACCCGCAGCCAGATAAACCAAAAATATCTCCATGCATTGCCAGCTATCTGCTGGGAGACAAAATGTCCCTGATTAAGAACCACTGATTTAAATTAAATGAAGGCCAAGGAGCCTTGAGTAGTGTTCATATCCGAAAAGGGCATTTTCAGAATTGTTCAGGCTGCTGGATCTCTCAAAGATGATGATGTATTTTCCAGGCCTCATGTGTCTGGAGCACAGGTTGCCTGTGGTGGTGGCTGCAATGATCTCAGTGTGCCAGGCCTTCACGGGGAATACCAGAGAGGGTCCCTCTGGAGCAGCTCTTACTGGGTCATGGAGACCATCTGTCTGGCATGGTACCACCTGGCAAAATCTCTTTGCCTTAACCAAAAATATGCTTTTGTAAATTTCCTGGCAAAGCAGGGGCTGCATTCTGTTTCCTGATTTCTCTCTTTTATTTCCAGATGTGTCACTGGTGACACATAGAGCCCAATGAGAACTCTGTTGGAAACTCAAGTTTCTCATTCTTCGCCAGCTCCGTTGTCATGATTTTCCCACCGTCTAAGCCAGTGTAGGTTACGTTACCCACGTGCTGGTTAGTGCTTGGATGTCAGTTTTCCTTTTTAAATTCTAGATCTGTAGCATGCTTTAGGGAGGAAACTTTATGGCTTATTACACAAATGGAGTTAACCCTTCCCTGCTTTGCAGTGTTTTTGTTAGTGACAGAGACATGAATTCAAGATCTGCCATTTATTATTTGTTTCATTTTGGACAACATGCTTAGCTTCTTTGATCCTTGATTTGTTTACCTTCAAAACAGAGTAACCTACCTGTCCTGTCTACCTCCATGGGATTATTATTAAAACACAATAAGATAATCTGCTCAAAAGGCTTAAACTCCCTAGTATGATTTACTATCAGTATACCTTTTGCACCCAAGAAAACTCTACAGTATCATTGTTCATGGGCACCAAATTGTAAGTTCAGTTAAGGCAGACTTTGTGTCTTTTTCTGCCAGTTTCTAGGACCTAGAAGGTATTCAGTAAATATATGGTGAATGACAGTATGAAAAAAATTGGGAAGTCAGATTCTGTGGTTCATTGTACCAGTGGGGGCTGGAGGGAGGTAAGTGAATGGTTTGTGTGGCTTTGTGTCATTTGTATTTGTGACAGACATTCCAAGCAATAGCATTTTCAAGGGTTCACAAGTGAGTGCCTGCAGAGGCAGGACACACTTAACACTCTGGCAGATATGCGACAAGACAGGGTAGGGAGGGGCCCAAGGGAACTAGAGAGGGCATACCCAGCTGTCTTAGTCATTTTGGGCTGCTATTAAAAAATGCCATAGACTGGGTGGCTTATAAACAACGGAAATTATTTCTCACTGTTCTGGAGGCTAGGAAGTCCAAGATCCAGGCCCCAGTTTATTCCATGTCTGGTGAGGACTCACTTCCTGGTTCATAGGTAGCCATCTCCTCTGTGTCCTCAAAAGACGGGAGGAGTAAATGAGCTTTCTGGGATCCATTTTACAAGGGCCCTACTTCTTCATGACCTAATCACCTCCCAAAGCCCCCCCCACCTCCAAATACCATCACCTTGAGGATTAGGTTTCAACACAGGAATTTTGAGGGGGGGATACACACACTGTCTATATTGCCAACCTAAAGACATTCACAGTTACACATTTTGAAGTCTCTGCATCAGCTAAACAAAATATGTCTTTGGGCCAATTTAAGTCTTCAGACAAAAATTTACAACTCCTTATTGACAGAGTACCTAATATAAATACTGGGACAGATGCGGGGCAGATAAAGATGAGGTGCTCAGGATCCGGCAGCAGTGATAGACAGGAAATTAGTGAGACAATGAGAATATCCAAGATACATGGAGAGCTTAGCCCAGCACTGTCCAATGTCCTTTACAAATGACAACTTGTATTTAATCCTCACAACAGCCCAATGTGAGTTAGTGGATATTATGTCCCCTGTTTTATAATGAGGACCCTAAGGCACAAAGAGGTTGATATTTTGCCAGAGGCTTTGAAGCCAGTATCTGGGGAATAATAAAATGCAACGTGTATGTCCAATGACAAAGGAAACACAGAAGCCCCCTCTTAGATCTCACTACTTCTACTCCTGCCCCTCCAGCCCCTCCATTTGAAGATCCCTGAGGGATCTGAAAATGCAACTTTGATCGTGGCACAGACCAGTCCTGAGGTTGGTGCAGTGACATCCCCATGCCACAGAGGCCCTGTGCCTTCTGGACGCTGCCTCTCTTGCCAGCCTTGCCCGCCCCTCATGCTCTATGCTCCACTTCACTTGCCCAGACAGACAAGCACTTTGCCCCTTTGCAGCCACTCTCCCCTTTGCCTGTGTCTCCTTGTTATGCAGGGCCTTTCTTATTCCTCAGGCCTCAGATCAATGTCACCTCCTCAGAGTGGGCCTTTGCTGCCCACGCTGCCCAAAGATGGCCTACTGGGTCACTTTCTTCTTTGCCACTTGCTTATTTCCTTCCTCACGTGTGTGCCTGCGTGTGTGTGTGTGTGTGTGTGTGTGTGTGTGTGTGTGTGTGTATTTTCTGATGCCTCCACTTGACTGTAAGCTCCAGGAGTGCAAAGATTTTTGTCACGTTCACTGCTGCATCCCATTGCCTGAGACAGTGGCCAGCATGAAGGAGATACACGAGAAAGCAATGTGTGTGCACTGAGTGAGCGAGCACATGGGAGGAGCTGACTTCATGGGGCAGATTCAGTCAGAGAGACTGTGGCTGGCCTGGTGTCACATTGGTGAGAAGTGGCACAGTCGGGATTTGAACTGATCATGACAGCATCTCGCTTGAATCCCATCATTGCCTCCCTACCGCGCTCAGGTTGGACTCCCTGGTGTTTACCATGGACAATGAATCTTGATGTCTGGCCCCTGTAGCACTTCTAGCCTCTTCACCCTCAATTGTCTGCACATCCTCCCTTGCCCCTTTCTATCTGCACTGACTTCACCGTCCCTCAGTCACCCCACCTTCTTTCTTTCCCTGCTCTTCCTTATGTTCTCTTCCCACGGCAGGCACCCTCTGCCCTTCTGTTTCATGGGGCTGTCTCTTCATTGTCCCTGAAATTTGAACTTCAGTCCTCCTCCCCCCGCAAACTTCTTCCAAGCCCATGGACTAGACTAGAACCCCCTCAAGTGCCCCTCATTGCATTTATCATGGTTGTAACTCTATAGTTATTTTTGTAATTTATTGTCTTTTCTGGCTTTTCTGCCCATGGCCCCTACAACAACAGCATGTTCATCTCATTCTTCTTCTGCCCTGGCTCGTTAGGTAGGAGGTGCTTACATAAACGTTTGTCAAGGAAATGAATAAATGAATAAATAAATGAATAAATTGCTGGATGAATGAATGAGAGTAAGTGAATGAAGAGTTCCTGAATTTGCTTTTATGCCACCTCCCTTCTCTGGGAAATTTCACACAGGATAGGATTTCTCTGGCATAGAGCAACACTTCTCTTTGTAGATCTCAGCCTGTGCCTGGAGACTGGGTAAAGTTGAATGACGGGGTGCAGGAAGCCTTGTGTTGTCTTGTCACAACACAGGAAGGGAAAGTACTTTGGCTTTTACTGTTGTAAATAGGACTAAAAGTAGCTCTTCGGGGGTGATCTTTGTTTACCACTGCCTAAGGCCACTGTCCTTGGAGAAAGGTCAGGAGGTGGGTGTTTACAAGTTCTGTCCAAACTCTCCCATGACACTATGCCACAGGCCCTCATTTCCCTGACCCATTGTTAATTAGAGCAGAGGAGGAACTTCAGATGCTGAGTTTGTCTTTGAAGAAGGATCCAGACCCTAGGATGTCATCCTGGAGACTTTGCTCTTCCTTATCCTTCATACCTGGTCCTCCACCTTCCTGACAGTTTCTCTTCTTCCTCATGGTTATTGGGAGATAGAATGGGTGGCAGATTTTTATTGTTTCCTGAGGAGCCCTGTGCTTTAATTTCCATTATGTGTGAAGATGTCTGCCATGACCACCAGGTTGGGTGTTCTGCTAGATTGGTGTTTGGGAGCCAGTTGTAGACAGAGTCAACCAGAATATAAAAAGTGTGAGTGCAGAGATAAACCCACTCCTGCCCTATAACGACAGTAACAAAACTGGCCCAGTGGTAGAGCTCTCATCACAGGCCAGGCACTGCGCTAAGCACGCAGTCTGCACCCCTTTAGACTGGCCCATTCTCTGGAAAGTTTCAAACATACACATCAGCAAAGAGTATAATGAAATCCTGTGTACCCATTACGTGTAGGGGCTGAAAATGTATTTGCCTTGATCCTGCTTTCAAAGCAATGGGTCTAGTGACTGCTTTGGGGGAGGAGTTAGGGAAGTGCTTAACTCATATTAACACTGATATTATAAATTTACAGAATGCAGCTCGCTCTGGAGATTATATCTGGTTATATATGTGCACATATCAGTGATTGCTATAGTCCCCTGGTAAGGGGATATATATTTAACTTAAAATGTTCTGTTTGGAGTTTTTACATAAATGTCACTAAATACATGAATATTTCAGACCCCCTTCCCAGTCTAGAGTAGTATTGGGTTAAGGGAACTAACTGTTTTGAGGGAATCTGAGCCAATTTAGTCTGGCAGGAAAATCATGTAGTGAAGTAGTGAGGCCCACATGGCCTCTGACCAGTCAGGGAGAGATACTGAAGTTTTACAAGAGACCATTTAATGAGAGATTATCCATAAAACTTGATGCACAGATTTCAGGAGAAGTCTTTTTAGTACTTATGTGTGTGTGTGTATGTGAGTGTTTAAATGTGGCAGGCTAAAGTGAAGAAATACGACTGCTACTGATAGTAGCTATTGTTTATTGAGGGCCAGTATATGGGTCAGTTGCTGTGCCAGGAGGTCCTTTGACTACAGTCTATTCCTCACCAAGGCTTTTAGTTCATTGTTATTACCACCATTGTAGATGTGAGAACATGGAGAGTTTCAGAGAGTTGCCCAAGACTATTCACATAACAAGTGGCAGGGCTGGAATTTCAATCCAAGTTAGCCTGTTTGCAAAGCCTTTGCCCTTTCCATTAGACTACATAGCATCTTAAAATATTCTGGCTGCTTACTTGAGAGGTAAGTATCAGTTGGGAACTTACTCACTTCCTTCTTTGTTTCAATATACAACCCAGAATGCTTTACAAATTCTGCAGAATTAGCCAGTGCTCATGTTTAGGCATATCATAGATTTTTTAAAATGGCTAATGTTGCTGTTCCTCTCCTTGTGCTTTGGAAAAAATTTTCAGAGTCCGATACCTATTGTGACAACTTTTCTAAACACTCAAAGTGCCAAGTTCATCTTGTTAGCTGTTCTTCCACCAGGCAATCAAAACTCATGTTAGTTCCCTGTGGATTCATTATAGTCCCCGGGAAACCAAAAGTTTTGCCTGTGTTTGGCACATACCAGTTAATTGCCTAAATTGTAACTTCTGAGTATTAGGAATTATCTTAAAAACTAATACCAAAATTTGGTATGATGTATTTCAATTGAGGGGGAAAATATTTGGAAATGAATTTATTTTGACTCTGGGGTAATATCTTTTGCTTCACATTTAGAAATTTACATACTGGGTTACTTCCATGACCTAAAACAACTTCCAAGTTTTCTTATTTCCTCAGTACCCCTAGCTTTGTTCTGGATGAGGCCAGTCTCTGTTCCAACGCATGATTTAAATATACACGGTTCTGCATCTTTGTCTATAATGTTTATAATATTTACTATCTCATGAATTTTTTATATCTACTTCATAATCTACTCTCTCCCTCTATTTTTCCTTGCACTTGACAGCCCAACTGGATGTTGTCTCTTAATTCTTTGTCACTTCATGGCAGTTTATAATTCTTTAATGTTACTTATTATATTTCAGCTACACTGCAGTAATGGATGGGCCCATTTTCTCTCCTCCAGCGTACTGAATGGGACTGTGTCTTGTCTCCGTGTGCCTGACACCTTGCATGGAATTTGCACCTCATAGCCGCTCAATAGATTTTAATTAATTGAAATTTAAAAGGGAACTTGTGTGGTTTTGTTTAAACAAGACCATAAATTAGAAACAACTATTTTCATGAATTTGAAATTCCCAGAAACATTATTCTTTAATACTGTACTTTTGTCGAGACTGAAGAGTTTGGCTTTATAGTAAATGAAATGAATCACAGAATCATTGAACCAGAGTAACAACAATACTAATAAAAACACCAGAAATCATCTGTGTAATCCATTCCTCTCTCTTAATGCCAGACAGTTCCCCAGCCACCTTAAAATGATAGAACTCTCCTTTCCTTAAAGATCCTTTTAAAGAAGACTGTCATCTTTTCCCATTCCACATCATCATGTCTTCTAGCCCTACAAGTTAGGCAGCTTCTCCTCAGATGATCGAAACCCTCCCTTACTGAAATTTATGCTTATTGCTTTCATAAAGATGAAAAGCAGCTGCTTTTAACTGAAAATAGTTCTCTTCCTAAAGATGGTTATTCCATTATTCCATATCCTTCTCTTCCCTAGGCATAATTTTCCTTTCCATCTGACATTCCTTTTTGTTCTATATTTCCAAACCATTGAATACTACTCTCTCAACTTACGGTTTTTTGCCTAAGAAAACTTGGACTGGGTGTGATTAGTAAGTGATCGTTGATTTTAGATGTACTGAGAAATATGTCTCACACCATTAAAACTAGTCGATCCAGCCAGGCTGGTGGGTAACTGGAATACTGTGACCTCAAATGATATGTGGTGGTATCTTTTAAAGCCTGCCATCAACCATTCCCATCTCAGTTTCTCCAGTTGCTTAATTTATAAGACATAATTTATTTGTTATAAACTGCTTTGCAAGGTTCAAAAAAAAAAAAAAAAAACGGAAATGATACACAAGAGAATTAGATTGAATTTAGGCCATTTTTTCCCCCTCATATCTGGTTTTTAAATAAGCCCTAAGAGTGCTCTCAATTAGAAAAACACATGGTAATTCTAAAGGAGATAAAAAAGGAACATGTACACTCCAAGTGCACTTTTATCTTTTCATATTTAAGAAACCCCACAAAGCTCCTTCTTGCAAATTAAAGAGGATAGCAAGCAGGCAGCTTTCTTTCCTCATTTAGTTTAGCAAGCATATTGATTTACATTTGAGTAGGGGCCTCTGATCTCTTTTGTTTGTGGGTGGCTTTGTTTGTTTTTAATATGAACTCATTTAAAAACTAAGCTTATGGACTGAGTTGCAAAGGTAGAGCTTCAGTCCAACACTCAAAGTAGTCTTCCTATGCAAAAATAAAATAGATATTTATGTATGTGGTAGTAGGTCAAAGAAGACATCAGTGATAACTATTGATTCAGTAAATATTAAACATCTACTATGTGTCCTCCTTACTAGGAAGACTAAAATGTAGAATGTACCATCCTTGCATCTAGTGTGCAGTGTAGTATGGGAGAGAGAAATAATTTAGCAGGTGATCATAATGCAATAAATGCTATGATAGGAAGCAATTAAGGCACAGTGGAGGGGCGAATAACACACCTTTGGATGAATTCCCAGAGGAATTGACACCAGAAGGTGATTAGGATTTACCAAGGTTAAGAAAGGTGAAGGTGTTTCAGGAGTGCGTTACCAAGTACAGAAGTGAATGGAAGTGTGACCCATTCAAGATACTCTTGAGTTTGTTTCAGCCAGAGAACGGACAAACAAGGGAAAACTTAAGTACTCTATCCTGGGTTCCTCAGGATGCACACTTTAAGGACGTTTTGCGTTTTTCTCTGGTATTTATTTATTGAAGTTCTCAGAACCTCCACAGAGCTAATTTCTGTAGCCTTTTGTGCTCCCATAAAGCTTTATATATGTACCCACATTTAAAACTTTCTTACAATACTTTTTGCATTTCCTCCATATGTCTATTTTCCCATCTACTCTCTGAGCTAATCAAGGGAGAAGACCTAGTACTCACGTCTATCTATCTGCAGTGCCATGCTGAGTGCTTGCAGAAATGTGTTTGGGAATCAGTGCATCTCTCTATGAATGGCTAGAGCATTCTAAGTGGTTTTGCTTCTAACTGTGCAGGAGGGCACAGTTTGGGCCCAATATTGGTTTGCAAATTCAAGATAAGAACCAAGAATTTGATTCTTAACTCAATTTTATGTTGACTTGAGCAGGCTGAACTGGGTTGCTTATGCCATTATTTCATTTAGTTCGGATAATGGCTATCAAATTAGCTGACAACCCATCTCAGTTCCCTGTAGTATTCTTAGCAGTGTCTTAAAGTGGGTTTTCATTTGAACATTTCTTTATTATATTTTCTTTCTCAGAAGTAGCCAAGAGATGATGATGATGTTGATGCTGGGGAAAACAATGGTAACAAGAGCAGCTGCTTTTTATTGGGTATGTGCTATGTGAATTAACCCTGCACTTAACCTTTTAATGAATTTATGAGATAATTACTACTGTTACCTTCTTAACAGATGAAGAAAATGAAGAGCAAGGAGGATATCTTACTCACTAGTGAATGATGGCTTCACCATGTCTGATCCAAACTGTACTTTGTAATGCCTTCTTCATAGCAGCACTAAAATCTAAAAGTCTGGAAGAGTCTTTAGGAGATCAGTTATTCCATTTCACATCTGGGGGCAGGATTATGCTTGAACTGAATGCCTTGGTCCACTGCCTGAAATGTATCCTCTACAACCTTTGTCCACCTGGTGAACTCCTACTCATATTTCAGGACTCACAATTCAAGCTGCTACTCCCAAGTGAAGCTTCCTTAATATTCCCAGGTAGAGTTGCCCTCTTCCTCTGTTGTTCCTCTTAAATATCTTGTATTTCACTCATGAAATTCACCAATCATGCAGAGGGTATGTTTCTAGAGGCAGTTTGTATAGTTGTGAAAGGTATGGACTCTGCAGCTAATTGTTTGGGTTCCAACTCTAGCTCTACCCGTATTAGCTAAATAATATGGTGCTCTCTTCCCCTGACAGACTGTTAATCCCTTGAGGCCAGATAATATTTACAAGAATTTCTTAAATGGCTAAGTCACAAAATTGTCATGTTTTTTACCTTAATAGCAAGTCTGAATGTATCCTCCTTCTGAAGAGCTGATGTATTGTTTCTGCTGGTTTCTGCATCTTGATCCCTGAAAGATATTGAAAACCTAATTTTAAGGCCATTTTCCTGTTTGTTTGTTTTTGTTTTTGTTTTTGTTTTTGTTTTTGTTTTCCATTTCTGTTTCCTTTCCCTCTTTTCCTGTCCTTCCTTAGAGACAGGACATCTTGAAAGGTACGAAATCTTCAGGTCTGTACTTCTACTTCACCAACTTCCTTTTAATGTTTTTACCTCTTTGTCTTGTGTGGAAAATCTTAATCTGACTCTTTCTGCTTTGTGTCAAAGGGATACTGTTCATGTTAAAATTCTCAGCTCTGAGAGGTATGTGAGTAGGCCGTTCCTTGGGTGATGGGACAGTTGACATCATATCTGAGAAGAGCATCACCATGGTGCCCTTTACTTATGGCCGTTGTCATGATGACAGTCATAGCCACCTGGAGCACAGTGGCCTGACAAAGACAGGAATAGGAAGAGGGAAATAATTCGTCCAACACTTTTGTATTTTGCACAATGGGAAAAGAGTGGCATCATTTCTAGATCCTAAACCAAAATTGATAGAAAAAGAAGACTAGAATGATAAGATCTGCTAAATATTCTCAGGGGGTTGAAGTATCAAATATCTGCAGATGGTATCACTGAGCAAAATCAAGGAGAGCAGTTTAGGATTTTTAGTATGAGGGAAATGATAATGCTTTTCAGTACTTCTTAGAGTTGTCAGTGTCTCATAAAAGATAAAGAATATTTGTTGAGTGACCACAACTTGCTGGGTACTGGGCTACACTACAGTATAGTATAGTTATTACTGAGAATTTGTAGAGATAATCCTAGCTTATCAAGGAAATATTTGTTTTATAATTTGTTCAGGTGCTTATTTATATTGAAGAATATTCTCAAGTTAAGATGATTTTTTTAGATACTCCAGAGGCCAGAATTAATCATAAAGGGCCCTAATAGCCAAAAAGAATTGAAATGCACTAGGCCAATTGGCAGACACTATTTCAGTCTGCTCTCTTTCATCCTTTGCCAGGAATTGTACATTATCTCTTTAAGGCAGAGCAGCCTTGGATGACCATATATTAATATGATAACTTGCTTTTCCTTGCTCCCCACCCCCCAACTAGTGGCTTTAGAATAGCTTTGCTATTTTTCACTTATTTCTTGGCAGTAGCACTAGATCCCAGGCTTACCGATTATGCACACTTTAGATAACTTTGGGTCAGCTCAGTACTGAACAAATGGCAAGTCAGGAATGCCATTAAGACTGAAGAATGTTGGAAGATAAGGATTATATAGACACCACTGTCCTTATACACACTGTGTTGTCCTGTAATTGGATAGGCCAAAATGAGTTGACACTGGAAGAGGTATTTTAATATTGGAGCTTATAAAATGTTTAGAAATGTTTTCCTATCTGAGTCAGACTGAGATAGGTATGTATGTTTTCTGTCTCTTCTGAGTGACACTGGGAAATAGTTATGATTGGGAATAGGCCTTGGTACCAATAACCTCATATATACACTAGGGTAGACCTTGCAGAGGAAGCTGGCACCAGGGCATGGGACCGTGAAGCAAAGGGGTTCAGAAGAACTAGAGAGTGGTCCAATAATGAGTCTTCAGATGGCCAGAGGCAAAGGCTGAGATCAAGCCTCAGGTCCAAGAAGCCAGAATCATAAGCCTGAAATAATTGAGTGAGAAACCCAACATTACTAGAATGGAGAAGAGGCTAGGGGAAAGGCAGGAGCAAACCCAAGGGCTGGGGGTCTGAAGATGTTACCATCACAAGGCAGCCCCATTTTAATGGCCTCTAGCCACAGGGTTTGCCATTAAAAACTGTAGGAGTAGACAGATGCTTGATGGAAACCCTTGACCCCGGGTCTTTGCTCCCTTAATGAAGGAATCTAAGGCAAAGTAGAGATTCTTTTTTTAACATTTAAACTTTATTTTTAATTGACAGATAATAATTGTACATATTCATGGGGTACATAGCAAAGTTTCCATACATATAATGCATAGTGATCAGATTAATTAGCATATCCATCTCAAGCCTTTTTCATTTCTTCGTGTTGGGAATGTTTAATATCCTCTTTCTAGTGATGAGAAACTGTATAATACATTATTGTTAACTGTAGTCATCTTACAGTGGTATAGAACAGGGCTCCCCAACCCCATGGGGTTCTATACCACTGTAGGATGACTAGGGTTAACAATAATGTATTATACAGGTACTGGTCTGTAGCCTGTTAGGAATCTGGCTGCACAGCATGAGGTGGGCGGTGGGCTAGTGAGCATTACCACCTGAGCATCACCTCCTGTCAGATCAGCAGTGGCATTAGCTCCTCAAAGGAACAGGAACCCTATTGTGAACTGCGCATGCAAGGGATCTAAGTTGCACGCTCCTTATGAGAATCTAATGCCTGATGATCTGAGGTGGCACAGTTTCATCCCGGAACCTTCCTCCTCGCAACCCCCACCCATGGAAAAATTGTCATCCACAAAACTGGGTCCTGGTGCCCAAAAGGCTGGGGACCGCTGGTATAAAACAGAGTTTATTTCTCCTTATCTAGTTGTAATTGTGTATCCTTTAACAGATCTCTCCCTATCTTTTTACATGTCCTTTGATACCATAAGCTCTATGGACACCCTATAATATTTCTTCATTATACTTACCCTTCATAGTAATTACTAGAGTGAGCTCTTCATGGATTTTTCTCTTTTACTAGACTCTAAGCTCCACGAAGGAAGAGATAATATCTGTGCCTGGTACATAGTAAGAGCCTAATAAATATTTTTGGAAGGAGGGAGAGAAAGAGGGAGGAGGGAAATAAATGGCTCTTTTGCTCCTTTTCTTCATGCCAGGGCAACACTCAGCTTCTGAGGTATGCACAGCAAGGATCTTGCTGAGATGGGTGTGGCCACTTGCTTGCCTCACTTCCAGCCCTGGGCACATGCAGTTCTTTCTACCTGGTGCAGTCCTCTTCCTCCCTGCTCTGGCACTTGCCTCTGCTTCCACTTCTGCTGCTGCTTCTTTTTCTAGTCTCCTGCAGCCTAATCATCCTCTTGACACATTCTTTCTTTAACCATCTGAATGCCTTCAGTATGGTTCCTGTGAGCTCTGAATGTTCTGGAAGCCATTGTTTTGTTTTGATAATTTTGAATATTTTACTCTTGCTCATTATGGATTAACTTTACAGCTGAACTCTCAAAACCAGACTTCATTTTCCCAACTTGAGAGAACATCTCATTGTTGTCCCTGTGTCCTTGCCTATGGCACACATCTCCCGAACACCCTTTTTTACCAGAACATCCTCACAGCAAACCTAAGGCAGCTAACTGCTTTCTACAGCTCTGTGTTTCTTGACCTCTTCCATCTGTTTTATTTTCATATTTTTCCTTTGTTAAAAAAAGGAGATAACAGACAAGAAAAACACGAGAAATTAAATACCTCAAAATTACTGTACATTTTCACTTGGAGTAACCAGTCTTTGTAATGTTTTGTAAATATCTTTCCCTGAGTGGGCCTGAATAAGCATGTAGTTAACAAGCATGGACTTTTAATTGATCAGGGCAGGTTTTGAACTTCTGTCCTGCTCTTTCCTAATGATACAACCTCCAATGACTTAACTTCTGAGCCTCAGTATTCTCTTCTGTGAAATGGAAATACTAATAATAGTATCCTCACAAGTTTGTTGTGATATTCAGTAACCCACATAAAATTTCTATGCATAATGCCTGGCGTATAATAGGCACTAAGTAAGCTGTCACTTGTTTTCTTTACTTTCCTGCTTTCTCTCATATTGCCTCTAATTAGTACCGTCCTTATTTTTTAGGGGACAGATCCAAATCCGTGAATCCAGGGGCTTCATCACGATCTTGGAATATTTTGGTGGCAACTTTAAGATCTTTTGTTTTCTGACTCTTAGATCTCTTTCTTTTGGTGGCATGGGAAAATTCCCTCAACTCGATTATTTATTCAGTTCTTTCATGCTCCCCATATTGTCATGGCCACGTTTGAATCATGTTATCGGCAAGTCTGACCGAAAAAGCAATTTAATATTGCCCTGTGTTGCATCATTGCATATATTATTTCAGCCTGTCACGGGCCTGTCAGCAAGTCTTGATGAAGTACAGAGCCAATAGTAACAGGCCTGAAATCTGACAGCTCTTTAACAGAAGCTGCTCCGATTGGTGCAGTGGTATTTCTTCAGAAATTAAGGCCTTCTTGGTCTCTTTGTTGATACAATTAGCAATCCAATCTGAGTCATTTTATCTCCCAATGAGCTGTATCTTCAGGGCTGGTAATTCAGTCTGTTGCATGGCTTGGAAAAACAGAGCCATCAGAGGCCTGTGATGTACCAAAGGCTGCAGCCAGGAATATCTTGGTAATTTATCCCCACTCTCAGCTCTAATTATTCTGTTCTTCACTGGCTGGTTCGATTGAGACTCTCCAGGTTCAGCCTTCCCTAAGCAGAGAACAAAAGGTTTCCCTTGAAAGTTGGGGCCTGGCAATGTCAGTACAGTGAGCTGCGTATAAATAATGCAGCAGTGCCGGCTTCATTTTTATAAAATCTTGGTGGAGAAATGCATGAGAATGATCAGGCCCCTGGAACTCAGCAGGCATGTGCTTTTGATGTGCGCCTTGCTCTGAGTAAAAGCAGGAGAATAAAAAGTTCTTGTTTGTGCTGAGGCTACTTCATGGTCTCTGGCTCGGATTTTGGTGACCCTTTCGCTTTGTTTCTGATAGAGTCTGGAGGCTCCTACCTAACTAGGAAAACTCTGATATGTATATAGAGGGAAATACCTTCAGTAACTATTTTCTGATTGAAACTAAAGATGATGAAAATAAAGATGGTGATTATAGTAGCTTTACTTATATTAGCTTTACTTACATTCCCTCATTTTAATCTTCCTAAGGTTAGAGTTATCTGGCTAGGCTATTTTCTCTATACCTTCTGCTCTCCCAATTAGCCTTATATCTTTTCTTTTTTCTGGTCAGATTCCCCAAAAATAAATATTCAGGGTGTGAACCTAGCAGCCAAAGCTCTGGGAGCTGAGTCGGGGAAAGGAGCTTGAGGGCTGGCCTGCAAAAAAGCAGATACTGAATCAGTCTCTTTTTGTCAAGATACTCTACCCTTACCTGGACCTTTTATCGCACCCTATCTAAGGGTGGATGCTATGGTTTGGCTGTGTCCCCACCCAAGTCTCACCTTGAATTGTAGCTCTGGTAATTCCCATGTGTTATGGGAGGGACCCAGTGGGAGATAATTGAATCATGGGGCTGTTTCTCCTCCTGCTGTTCTTATGGTAGTGAATAAGTCTCACAAGATCAGATGGTTTTATAAGGGGGAAACCCCTTTCACTTGGTTCTCCTCCTCTCTTGTCTGCTGCCATATAAGACGTGCCTTTTACCTTCCACCATGATGGTGTGGCCTCCCCAGCCACGTGGAACCATGAGTTTATTAAACCTCTTTTTCTTTATAAATTACCCAGTCTCAGGTATGTCTTTATCAGCAGTGTGAAAATGGACTAATACATTGGACCTTAGTACTTTTCTTCCGTAGTGTGGGAGAAGTAGTACCCTGGTTGCTAATAGTGAGGTCACATGGGATCTAATTACTTCCTAAACATACTTTTTGTACCATCTGCTGTTTTTAGCCTCATTTTTATCCTCACTTTCAGGGGTGGTGAGCACCACCACCTCCTGAACTTTTTGGGTCTCTGTAGGGTAATCATTTTGCTTCTGGGTTTTTCCTGCTGCTATTTAGGTTTTACCTTTCTCAAGTCTACCAAGAGAGTTACTACTACCATGGTTTTTGGCTTTTAGATTTTCGATGCTGTCATCTTCTATCCTGTTCTCATTGTGGGTTTTTGCCTCTTTGAAACATTCTTGTACAACCATTTTGTTGGAATTTTTAAAGGGCACAGAGTTCAACACGTGTAGTCAATCTGGCATCTTTAATCAGAAGCCTCTTTTTGTTTTTGTACTTTTTGAAATAGGAAAGAAGGTCTGCTAGAGATCTGGCATGCATTTGTGTCTTGGGCAGTAGGTGGTGGGAGGAATGTGAGGTAGGCAAAACCAGGAGAGCATTGTTGGAAGGCTCTCCTGGTTCCATTGAGGTTAATGGTCTATGCAAGGAACCCAGTGTTCTGCTTCATGCACTCCAGGAGTCTAACTTTTGTCTCTTCTCCAGCCTGCATACAGAGCAGTATCTAAAGATCTAGGCTTTATAATAGAAGCCATTAAAAAATGATTAGGAACCTGAAAGCTTCCTTCTATAACTGAGATCTGAAGGTTTTTATTCATTCACTTAATTAACATGCATTGTGCTCTCAAAATTTGCCAGAGTAGCATTGTGCTTATTCATCCATATAACTGGATGAAAAAGGCAGATATGGACCCTGCTGTGGGAGGTTGTGGCCTGACCTTATATACTGAAATTTCCAGAAGGCCAGATAGAGCATCAAGAAATAAAATAAAATAATAACATTCTTTTATGATAATGAGATAGATCCTTCAGTGCCTCCTGGTCTTCCCCACTCATACACACTCATGCCTAAAATAGTCCACGGTTCTGGACTCCTTTAGTGGGCCAGATCCTTTCATCACCATGGGCTGCTGAGACCACTGGAATTTCAGGCAAACCTATAAAACAGGGGCAGCTTTAGGTGACCACATTCTGTCATGAATCCTTGATTTCATATACAGTTTTTGCATTACATGTTTGCTAGTCCTAGGCCAAAACAAAAGGAGAAAAGATCTAATTTTAGCTGAGTTCGAGTTGCCTTTCTAAAAATTATGATTTCTTCTTTATGAGTCTTTTTGGTGAATTGACCCTTTTCTCAATATGTAATGTACCTGTTTATTCCTGGTAACATTTCTTGTTCTGAAGTCTACTTTGATATTAATATAGCCACCTCAGCTTATTATTTGTATCTGCATGCCTTATCTATTTATTTATTTTTTGAGACTGAGTCTTGCTCTGTCCCCCAGGCTGGAGTGCAATGGCACAATCTCGGCTCACTGCAACCTCCACCTTCCAGGTTCAAGCAATTCTCCTGCCTCAGCCTCCTGAGTAGCTGATTACAGGCGCACACCACCACGCCCAACTAATTTTTTTTGTATTTTTAGTAGAGATGGGGTTTCACCATGTTGGTCAGGCTGGTCTCGAACTCCTGACCTTGTGATCCACCTGCCTCAGCCTCCCAAGGTGCTGGGATTATAGGCGTGAGCCACCACACCCAGCCTGCATGCCATATTTTTGCATCTTTTTACTCTTTATCTTGCATTTTTATATTGAAAATAAGTATTTTTTGTTTGTTTTGTTTTGTTTTGTTTTTATCCAGGCACTGCGACTCACCTCACACCTGTAATCCCAGCTACTCACAAAACTAAGGCAGGATGATTGCTTGAGGCCAGCAGATGGAGACCAGCCTCAGCAACATAGTGAGACCCCCATCTCTAAAAAATAAAAAAAAGAAAAAGTAATCTGGGCATGGTGGTGTGTGCTTATAGTCTCAGCTACTTAGGAGGCTCAGGTGGCAGGATTCCTTAAGCTCAGGAGTTAAAGGCTGCAGTCAGTCCTCATCATGCCACTGCACTCCAGCCTGTGTAACAGAGTGAGCTCTTCTCTAAAAAGTAGAATAAGTTTCTTTTAAACTCCATATAGTTGGGTTTTATTTTTATTCAGCTTTATTATCTCTGCCTTCGCACTGGAGATTTTAGGTCATTTACATTTATTGGTTGGGTTTTAATCTATTTTCTTTTTCTGTCTTCCATATATTCTATATAATTATTCCCTTTTCCTGTATTCTCCAGATTACTTAAATATTTGTTAGTATTCCATTTTATCTCTAAAAAGTTTTACCTCTTGCCAGTTTCTAATATGCGTCTTTCACTTATCACAGTCGACCTTAAAATAATTTTGATGCCTCATTATATATAATACACTTTCATATCTTCCTGTGATTTGTGCTATTATTCTCATATGATTTGTTCATGCATTGGATTGTATAAAGATTTAAATTCAATTTTTTTAAAGAAATTTATGTCTGTTGTATTTACTCACATATTTAGCAGTTCTGATACTCTTCATTCCTTTGTGTGTGTTCACATTTCCATTTGGTATCTTTAACCCATGTAGTTTCTGCATGAATTATAAAGTATTCTCCTTCTCCCTCCTCCTATATGAGTATACAGAATTGAGTTTGTTGATTGTATTAACACCCTTTAATTCCCCAGTAGTAATAATAATAGCTATTATTACTCTTATAGTTTACATGTCTCTTCACATTCTGAAAGTACAATCACATATTTAAATAGAATTGTCTTTTTTCAAATGCTTTTTAAATTTTAGAAGCTCTTGTTTCATATATTTCATACTACATTGTTTGGTTCATAAAATATTATGAATGGTAGTTTTCTTGGATTGAGCATTTTGTCATTATGAAATATTCTTCTTTTCCTTGTTAAATATTTTTGATCTTGATTCTACTTTGATACTTATATTGTCATTT
This sequence comes from Homo sapiens, assembly GCF_000001405.40. Classification (NCBI taxonomy): domain Eukaryota; kingdom Metazoa; phylum Chordata; class Mammalia; order Primates; family Hominidae; genus Homo; species Homo sapiens. The sequence goes on from NC_000001.11 coordinate 59,450,852, forward strand.
AAAAATTTTTTTGTTTGTATTTGTTGTAGAACATTTTTGAAAGAAAACTGAATCACATTTTAAAAAATCTGAATTATAAACAAGGTATATAGCTTAATTTTAACCACAGTATGATTAATCTTATCTTTTAACTGGTTGTGGAATTCAGCCCATTCACATTTGATGAAATACTGAGATAATTGACCTTATTTGTTCCATCTTATTTTGTTTTCTATTTATATTACATCACTCCCCATTCCCTTTCCTTTTTGTTTTGTGTGGTTTATTGGTTTCACTGGCTTGTTAATTTTTTCTTTATTCCCTTTTATTCCTTGTTACTTTGAGAGTCCTACTAAGTGTTTTGTTTCTACTAGTGGTTACATTCTCATTCCTTATAACCAACAATAAACTTATGTTCTGCCTAAACATGTATATGTATTTCAAGGAACGTTTTCTGTGTACCCCTTCTCTAGACTCTTACTTAATATTTGCTTACTTAATGTTTATTTTCAGTTCCAGACTGTTACTAAGTTTTTTTTGTTGTTGTTTGTTTTTTTTTTGTAGAACAGCAAGCCTATTGTATTTTAAGAAAACTCAATATTACAGATTCCTGCTTACATTATTATTATCCACTTAGATTTCAATACGTATATGCATATATTTTTATGCATATATGTATATGTTTAAGCATATTATGCACATACATGCATATATATACATATATGCAGGAAAGAGACACACAGAGTGAGAAAGGGTCTCAGTGTCTACTGGTTCCTCTAGTCTTTGATTTCCACCATATTGAGAAAGCTGCTCTGAATCAATTGTTATTTGGTTATACTCTTTCTCAAGTATTGTCCTCAGACAGTGCTTATGAGTTTACTTTTTGAATCCTTGTGTGTTGAAAATGTTTTTTTTGCCTCTTACAGCTAAATAATATTTTGTCTGGGTATAGGATTCTTTAATCAGTTTCTCGTAATAGTTTGTACATTATTCTAGTGTCTTCTACATTCCAGAGTTGTAGATGAGAATTCCCTTAGCTAGGATTAATCCTTTGTAAGTAACCTATTCTTTCTGTCTGGAAGCTTGTATAATTTTCTGTTTACTCTTGAAATTCAAGTGTTTCCTGGATTTACTTCCTGGACTTAATGAGACTTTTAATCTGTGGGCTTAAATCTTACTTCAGTTCAGTATAATAAAATACCTAGCCCTGTATTCATTTAATTACAGTATCTCCCTCATTTGTTCTTTTCTTTTTTTTTTTTTATTCCTTTTCTCTCTCCTAAAAAACACAAAATCTGTTCTGGAATTTCTGTTATTCTCATGTTAGGCTTCTGGAATCTGTCCTCCAAGCCTCTTATCTCTTCCATCATTATGTCAATCTCTTTGTATCTTTGCTACTTGTAGTAGCAAAGTGGGAGAGATGGTGAAATGAATGAGCAAAGACAGTTACTATGGTAAATTAAGATAAAGATAAAGATAAAATTCAGATGTCATATGTCATATTTCATTTACTTGGTCTTCCAGAGCATTAATTTGATTTTCATTAGTGTCAGTGATTTTTTAGTTCTTCTGTGGAAATTTTAAACGTAAAATCAGTATTTATACTTCCAGAAAGAATTTTTTGCATTCTTCTGATTTCTCATTGTTTTCATCATTAAAAGATTCTACCATATTTTTCATCATTTCTACTTCTGTGGGACTTGCCTCTTGTAGATGTTCTATGTGGTCTCTCAGGTGAACTACTCCCATTAAGTTAGTTAATGTTTTTGTTTTGCCTACTCATTGATAAATGCTATTTTGACTTTCATATAGGTTTTTAGTATCTATTCTGCATTAACAAGTCTGAAAGCAGTGAAAGGTACATCAGTTCCTGCCCTGGCACTTGGGCTGGCAGTCACCCAACCGGCCAACAGCAAGTGGCCCCTTCTTTCTTCTTAGAGCACCCTTGGTGGAAGCAGCACTCCTCTCTAGCTGCCAATCTTAGAAGCAACTCAGACTGCCAGTGTAGCCCTGACTCTGTAGGGCCCCTATCTCTAATTCTAATTTTACAAACCTTTGGGTGGGGGTGACTAGTAGGTACAGCTTGCCTAAAGGTGAATAGTTATCCAAAGAGGGCAAGTTGCTAAAACACTTCAGGAAATGTCAAAACTGGTCTTAATAGAAGACTCCCGGAGGGGTAAGCCCTTTGTTCTGCTGCTAGTACCTTGCCTTTACCCACTAATAATATGAACAAAGTCCTATGTTTTCTTTCCCTCCTGGAGAGTTTTGGAGTACCTGTGGCTTCAATTGTACTCACTAAACTTTACCAGTTCTGCTGCTTAATAGCACGTCCATATTACCCATCAGTTTGATTTAAAGAAACTCAATGAATTGGACCCTAATATTGTTTGAATAATCCCAATGAAGGAGGGAGTTGCCAGAGGCATCTGTAGCCATAAAACTTCTGTAGTCATCTTCACTCCAGGCATACTCTCTTATTTTAACTTCTTGTAAAGACCAAGACATCCCTAACTTTCCCTTTATTGGGGAAAAAATCTGCTTGGAAAAACTTAGTTATGCTGTGAAGTGTTGAGTTTTTAAACTATTGCTGTATTATGAACCACAACCAATGCTTGTTAGTTTAATACAGTAATCATTTATTTGACTCATGGACAGCTCATTTAGGCTGTGCTGTCCTAGGTGATCCTTCTGGTCTCAGTTGGACTCACTCACTGGAGTCTTGGCTGACTGATCCACGTTGATCCAAGACAACCTGGGGGTATCTGATCCAGATTGAGCTCAGCTGGCTATTGCCCTGCTCCATGTTTCTCTTATCCTCCTCATGGGACCAGTGGACTAGCCTAGAATGATCTCATGGCAGTGCCAGAGGTGCAAGAGAACAAGCAGAAACACATAGAATCTCTTGAGGCTCAGACTCGGAACTGGCATGCAGTTACTTCTGCTTCCTTATTTTGGCTAAATTCAGTCATGTGACAGAATCAGAAGTCAGAGGTAAGGAATCAGAATCAGAGGTAGGAAAGGAAGCCCTGCCTACAATGTGGGGGACAGGAGGAGGAGGGTGCAGTACTACAAAGTTACATGGCAAAGAGTGTGGGTATGTGGAGACATGAAGACTTAGGGCCATGAACTCAACCTTTATCAGCTGTTGAGAAATACAGTGCAATATTTTAAACTTACAATGGTACCTCAAGAGAGAGAGCCACGAGTTTAGCTTGGAGGTAGTAGAGAAACTTTCACAGAGGAGCTGACATTGGAACTGGACCATAAGGACAACCTGGAGTTTACCAAGCAGACAAAGATAGGTGAAAGGAGTAATAATCCATTAAGATGGAAGGAGAAGTCAAAGTAGAGGCCCAGCACTCTACAGACAAGAATGGGACATCTGGGGATTTAGGAGTTACCCTGTGTGATTGGATCATTGGAAACAATCCTTCTATACTGCCTTTTGCTCCCTAATATTACTCTTGCCAGGGAGCTATCGTACCTCCCCAAAAGTTGGAATTTCAGATGTCATATGCCAGGAGGAGTTAGCATATTGTATACTCTTCAGAACATGTTACATAGGTGGGCTGCCTTCTCCACTTATTAGAGATGTATGTTGCTTAAAAAACCGTGAATAATTTAGCATGTTTCTAGAAGTGCTTGCATTCCTTCAGTATATTTATGCCACTTAGCATAGCTCAATGTGTTCTGTGATCTGTGCCACATGTAAAAAAATCATTAATGATAAGTGACATTTGTTGGCTTTCAAAAGACATTTAAGCCTCACTCAGTGCTACCTCCTCTATGAACCCCTCCTTGATATTTCCTCCCTGTCTCCCACCAGATTATGTCAGGTTCTTCTGCTAAAGGCTTTCATTTCTCCCTCTACTTCCTTCAGAGTATTCATGGCTGTTTGTTAGTATATGATTTTAGTTGTGATTATTTGATCAATTTCTGTCTCCCCAATTAAACTTTCAGCTTCTGTGACTGCAAAAGACTAGATATTTTGCATACCACTGGTTTCCTGGATCCTAGTATAGTGCCAGGATCATAGTAACTGAATATTAAACATTTATTAAGTGAGTGAGTGAATGCATGAATCTATGTGAGTGACTGAATGAGATACATCTAGACTATTGTCCTTGTGAGATAGGTTTTGGGTTATCTTTAAAATTGCATGAGCTCCCAGGTTTACCATTTACCTACCATGTAATGGACAAACGATTCATTCTTTAATGTTTCCATTCAGTCAGTGTTCATTGTGGCTTGTCATAATCCTGAATGTGAATGAGGTATTTGTGATACAGAGAAGAGTAAGGCTGATTCTGGGCTGACGGAGTTGCTGGTTTAGTGGGAGAGATGGTGAAATGAATGGGCAAAGACAGTTACTGTGGTAAATTAAGATAAAGGTATGTCCAGATTGGAACTTGGAGAAGAAGCTTTTCACTCAGTCTGCCCTTCATTGGGGCTTCCTGAAAAAGGACAATCTGAGCTGAGTCATGAAGGCTAACTAAGAGTTAGATGCATAATGGGGATGACTGTTCCAGGAAGAATGAAGCAAAAGGGTTCAGTACACAGGGAAGTGGGAAATCAAGGCTCACTATAGCAAACTCCAAATAATTCAGTATTGCAGAATGAGAAGGCAAGGGTGGGGATGGCCAGAACGGAGTGACTGTGGAGATGGACACAGTCATATCACAAAGGGTTCTTTAAGCCCTGCTGTGCATTGGACTTTGTCCTGAAGTTAGAGCGTAGCAATTGAAGGATCTTAATCAGAGATTGACATAAAATATTTTATTTTATAAAGTTTGCCCTGGGTACAATATGGAGAACAGATTATAAGGCAATAAGACTGTAGGGGAGCAATATGAAGAAGCAGTTACTTACCCAGCATGATAAGGGCTATGGTAGAAGACATACTCCATGCTCTGGGAAATCAGAAGAGGAGTGCCTAACCCAGAACTGGAATCTCAGCCTAGGCTAAAGTAAGAGTTTGAATTATCATGGTGAAGAAGCTGGGATGAGTTTTCCCAACAGATGGGGGTAGGGCAAAGGCACTGAAGTATGTCAGAACATGACTTTCTTCAGAGAACTGTAAGTAACTTTTTATTGTTAGACTACAGAATATTAAGGGTAAATTGAGAAATGTAGCTGGAAAGCATCTAGCGTTCAAGTCTTCCTCCTATTAAATATTGCCTTAGACTGGGATGACCATACTCTTTATTATCTCCACCAGACACTTTAAAAACTTTTTTTTATCATAGAAACTTTTGAACATGTAGCGAGAGTAGTATAATTAACACCCATGAACCCATCACTCTGTCCCAACAACCACCCATGACCAATCTTGCCCTTAGCCACATGCCATTTACTTCTCCTTCTCATGTTGCTTAAAGCGCATTCCAGATACCATGTATCTTATACAAACATTTTCAGTATGTATCTCTAAATGATAAGGAGCCTTTTGTTAACATAACCACAACTACCAATATCATATCTAAAATTTCATAATTTTTTTATCAAATAGCAAGGTTATAATTTCTAATTATCTCACAAATGTCATGTAAACGTAGATGTAAATACGAATATTCATATACAGATTGTTTAATCAGGATCCAAATAAAGGACTGAAACTTTTTTTTTTTTTTTTTTTTGAGACAGAGTCTCACCCTGTTGCCCAGGCTGGAGTGCAGTGGCACGATCTTGGCTCACTGCAAGCTCTGCCTCCTGGGTTCAAGCAATTCTTCTGCCTCAGCCTCCCGAGTAGCTGGGACTAGAGGCATCCACCACCAAGCCTGGCTAATTTTGTATTTTTAGTAGAGACGGGGTTTGACCATGTTGGCCAGGCTGGTCTCCAACTCCTGACCTTAAGTGATCTGCCTGCCTTGGCCTCCCAAAGTGCTGGGATTACAGGTGTGTGCCACTGTGCCCAGCCAGGGCTGAGACTTTTGAAAGTGAAGGAAGGTACTATCCATAATTAACAGGTATCCATGGAGACTTTTTACCTAAGCAGGGATGTGTCATTATCTACACTGGCTTATTCCACTTCTTTAATACCTCTGCAGATACCTGGACGGGTATTTTGCAAAATATAAAGGAAGCCTCACTCATATGGTCAGTTCTATCTATATCTCTTCTATTTTCTTAGGTCTCTCTGCTCCCTGGTGTGTAAGTGGACATATTCAGCAGAGAAAGGCTGGGACGACAGTTTCTGGAAAATGATTGGTTTGGAAGACTTTGTTGCAGATAATTACAGCAAAATAGGTAAAAGAATAAAACATCTGTAGAGTGATTATGTGCATTGGAGGATCTTGATGGGTTTGTTGTTATTGTGGTTTGTATGTTTCTTGTTTTTGTATGCATGAAAATACAGGAATGAAGTTCACTTTTTCCAAGACAAATGAGTTAATTATGATGGGTAGGCCATGACTAGTAGGCTCTTGCCTTAAGATTTATATGAACTGAGTAGAGATACATGCTATGAAAATCTGCATTGAAATATAGAATCAGAAATTGCGCTGGGCATGGTGGCTCACACCTGTAATCCCAGCACTTTGGGAACTGAGGCAGGCAGATTGCTTGAGCCCAGGAGTTCGGGACCAGTCTGGGCAACATGGTAAAACCCCATTTCTACAAGAAAAATACAAATGTTAGCCTGGCCTCGTGCATATGTCTGTAGTGTCAGCTACTCCGGAGGCTGAGGTGGGGGGATTGCTTGAGCCTGGGAGGCAGAGGAGGTTGCAGTGAGCTGAGATCGTGCCACTGCATGCAGCTTGGGCAACAGACAGAGCAGAACTCTGTTTTGAGGGGGAAAAAAAAATGGGCTAGACTGAGGAAGATATTTGCAAGGAGCAGCTTGGGAATAGCATACTCAAGGGGCTGTGTATGGACTGCTTCCAGTCAGTACTACGAAAATAATTTTACAAATTAGGTTCACAGGACAAGGCAAGGCTGTGAACAGGTAAAAAATAAAGCTAAAAGATCAATATTAGAAAATCTAGAAAAAAGCAGAAACTAGAACGAGTCAGTGGCTCCTAACTAAGGCCTTAGGGTCTCAGACTAAGGCCTTTTATGTGGGTGGTAAAGTACATCTTCTATGTCCCAAGCACATTTCTCTGTGCTTGTATGTACCTTGTTTTATATATTTCTCACAACTACTGACAAAAGCACTGTTGCATGTTTACAGATGAGAATCAGAGAGATTAGTAACCTTGCCTAACCTGGCATGGAATCAATAAATGGTAAGTCAGGATCGAAATTCTCCCAATGGGAGGACCTAGAAGGAACTAATATTTTACTGGAACACAAATTTCAGCTTCAGTTACCTAATGGTTTAAGTGATTTGTAAAATGTATATGCCCTCCAAAAAATTAGTTGTTTTTTGCTGAATATTCCCATGGTATGTTGTTAAACATAGCTTTATTAGTGTATATATTGATTACCTGTATATGTGTCTTGATTCCTCACTAGACTGTGAGCTGTTTGACATAAGGATTTTCACTTATTTACCTTTGTATTTCCTGTCCTAGCACAAGGCATGGCATATTTTCATATCTCAGTGACTTTTTGATTAAAATATTGAGATGCTTGGTACTAGGAGGTTGGCACTCTTTCCTTTAAAAATCTGTAATGATATTTACTGATTTTAACATTATCTTTGGCAATTGGGTATAACTTCAACTCTGATTTTCTGATTATTTTTATATTTTTCTGCTCCTCTTTCCTGCCTCACACATGACACATGTTTAATTAGTATATTAGCTCTGCTAACGTAGCAGTATCTACAAGAAATATTCATTAGAAGTCCATAATGTTAATCTAGCAGAAAATTTCCAGAGTAACTTTATTAGATTTTTTCCCTGTTAAGTTAATGGATTTTTAATGGATTTCCTAAGGAGACATATCATTAAGCAGAATATTGCTGTACGTGAATTAGAACTTACCCATTTATCAAAATTAATTGTGTGATGTTTCCTTTGATTTTCGCTTCTGGACACTTGAGCTTGTAGTTTCAGTCTGAACCCAAAGTAGAAGATATTTAAGAGGCTGTTTATTCTCAGTTGTGACTTTCAGAAACTCCTCTGGAAGCTACCTCTAGACATTCTTTAGCAATTCTTGGAACTATGAAAGATGAATCTCAGAAGCCTCCCTATGAAGTGTTAAACATTTCCAGTGGCCTCATTGCCCGTCAAGATGTGGGCAATATAGTGTGAAACCTTTTAGCAGATTTGAGCATTGAGCGTCCTGGATTTGAGCATTAATACAATTACCATAATTTGCTCCATGTGGAGCTTTTAGCCAAGCCTTTACCAGGCTTCCTGGGCCCATGCAGTAAATAAATGCTTTCCCTGAAAACTGAACACCTCAGCAACTGATGGTCTTATGGAGGAATATTTTTAAAATGAATTATTTATGAAGTGTAAGTTAAGGATCAAATGCAATATTTATATGGTGCATTTCAAGGACAGGAGAAAAAATTTACAGGGTTTTAAGTAATAACATGCAAGTTTCTAAAGCTAAAATGTTACTACCTAATGCCTTCTTTCAAGGAGGTATTTGGATGGCTTGGTTTGGGAACATTCACAAAGTAAGGAAAAATAGTTTTGTGCATCAAAAGAATATAGTAGAAATTTCTTTACAATTGAATAGAAATTTCTTTACAGTTGAAACTGTACAAGTTGACTTAATGTTCAGAATTGATGGAGAAAAATGAAACAGATTTTGGGTAGGAGATTATATAGCCCTACTGACAAAATGATCTGTGTTCAATGAAATGATCCAACAAACTGATCTGTGTCAATAAATTTTGACCTTTAATTCCACATGAATAATTCCCCAGTTACCTATCTAATCCTAAACATCTATCAAAAGCAAACAGGAAGGAAGAGATCAGCAGGGAGAAAGGACCTTAGGAAGATAAGCAACATCCCACCTGTTCTAATTGATTATCCAGGTGCCATTTCAGCATGCCGCGGTTGCCTTTTTAATTCCTGGGAAAATCTCTTTGTTCTACTATTGGGGTAGCCCACTTTATGAAAAGTCGTGTGTGCAACATGGCTGAATTATAGAGTGATTATCTGCATTACTAACAGGGTTTGTCATATAAAGGGATTCAGTGTATTAGCTTATAGATCATTCCTTTATTTGGGACCAGGGAAGCCAGGCAAAGAAAAATGTAAATTCCAAGTCCAGGAAGTTAGTAAGTGTTAAGTGAGAGGCAGAAATGAAGATAAAGGGCAGGAGACAGTTTCTTGAGTGGAGGGAGGCTGCTTTTTAAATGGGTTTCCTCGACCCGGGAAGCACAAGGGGTGGGGGAGATTTCCCTTTCCTAGACAAGGGAAGCCATGACAGACTGTATCTGGAAAATCGGGACACTGCCGCCCAAATACTGGGCTTTTCCAACAGTCTTAGCAAACGGCACACCAGGAGATTATATCCTGCGCCTGGCTCGGCGGGTCCCATGCCCAGGGAGCCTTGCTCTCACTGCTAGCACAGCAGTCCGAGATCGAACTGCAAGGTGGCAGTGAGGCCAGGGGAGAGGCTTCCACCATTGCTGAGGCTTGAGTAGGTAAACAGAGCAGCTCGGAAGCTCGAACTGGGTGCAGCCCACCACAGCTCATCTAGGCCTCCCTGCCTCTGTAGACCCCACCACTGGGGGCACGGCGTAGCTGAACAAAAGGCAGCAGAAACCTCTGCAGTCTTAAACGTTCCTGTCTGACAGCTCTGAAGAGAGCAGTGGTTCTCCCAGCACAGTGTTTGAGCTCTGAGAACTGGACAGACTGCCTCCTCAAGTGGGTCCCTCACCCCCGTGTAGCCTAAATAGGAGACACCTCCCAGTAGGGGCCGACTGACATCTCATACAGCTGGGTGCCCCTCTGGGATGAAGCTTCCAGAGGAAGGATCAGGCAGCAATATTTGCTGTTCTGCAGTATTTGTTGTTCTGCAGCCTCCGCTGGTAATACCCAGGCAAACTGTCTGGAGTGGACCTCCAGCAAATTCCACTTTATGAAAATTCCTGCAGCTGAGGAACCTGGCTGTTAGAAGGAACTCTAACAAACAGAAAGGAATAGCATCAACATCAACAAAAAGGACATCCACAACAAAACCATCATCAAAGACCAAAGGTAGATAAAACTATAAAGATGGAGAGAAACCAGAGCAGAAAAGCTGAAAATTCTAAAAACCAGAGCACCTCTTCTCCTCCAAAGGATCACAATTCCCTGCCAGCTACGGAACAAAGCTGGACGGAGAATGACTTTCACGAGTTGACAGAAGTAGGCTTCAGAAGGTCGGTAATAACAAACTTCTCCGAGCTAAAGGAGGATATTCAACCCCATCGCAAGGAAGCTAAAAACCTTGAAAAAAGATTAGATGAATAGCTAACTAGAATAAACAGTGTAGAGAAGACCTTAAATGACCTGATGGAGCTGAAAACCATGGCACAAGAACTACGTGACACATGCGCAAGCTTCAATAGCCAATTCAATCAAGTGGAAGAAAGGGTATCAGTGATTGAAGATCAAATGAATGAAATAAAGCAAGAAGAGAAGTTTAGAGAAAAAAGAGTAACAAGAAACGAATGAAGCCTCCAAGAAATGTGGGACTATGTGAGAAGACCATATCTACATTTGATTGGTGTACCTGAAAGTGACGGGAAGAATGGAAACAAGCTGGAAAACACATTTCAGGATATTATCCAGGAGAACTTCCCTAACCTAGGAAGGCCAACATTCAAATTCAGGAAATACAGATAACACCACAAAGATACTCCTCAAGAAGAGCAACCCCAAGACACATAATTGTCAGATTCACCAAGGTTGAAATGAAGGAAAAAATGTTAAGGGGAGCCACAGAGAAAGGTCACATTACCCACAAAGGAAAGCCCATCAGACTCACCACGGATCTCTCAGCAGAAACTCTACCAGCCAGAAGAGAGTGGAGGCCAATATTCAACATTCTTTTGTTTTGTTTTGTTTTGTTTTGTTTTTTATTTTATTGTATTTTATTTTTTTCTTCTATTATTATTATTATACTTTAAGTTTTAGGGTACATGTGCACAATGTGCAGGTTAGTTACATATGTATACATGTGCCATGCTGGTGTGCTGCACCCATTAACTCCTCATTTAGCATTAGGTATATCTCCTAATGCTATCCCTCCCTCCTCCCCCCACCCCACAACAGTCCCCAGAGTGTGATGTTCCCCTTCCTGTGTCCATGTGTTCTCATTGTTCAATTCCCATCTATGAGTGAGAACATGCAGTGTTTGGTTTTTTGTCCTTGCGATAGTTTACAGAGATATAGATCAATGGAACAGAACAGAGCCCTCAGAAATAACGCCGCATATCTACAACTATCTGATCTTTGACAAACCTGAGAAAAACAAGAAATGGGGAAAGGATTCCCTATTTAATAAATGGTGCTGGGAAAACTGGCTAGCCATATGTAGAAAGCTGAAACTGGATCCCTTCCTTACACCTTATACAAAAGTTAATTCAAGGTGGATTAAAGACTTAACCGTTAGACCTAAAACCATAAAAACCCTAGAAGAAAACCTAGGCATTACCATTCAGGACATAGGCATGGGCAAGGACTTCATGTCTAAAACACCAAAAGCAATGGCAACAAAAGCCAAAATTGACAAATGGGATCTCATTAAACTAAAGAGCTTCTGGACAGCAAAAGAAACTACCATCAGAGTGAACAGGCAACCCACAAAATGGCAGAAAATTTTCGCAACCTACTTATCTGACAAGGGCTAATATCCAGAATCTACAGTGAACTCAAGCAAATTTACAAGGAAAAAACAAACAACCCCATCAGCAAGTGGGCAAAGGATATGAACAGACACTTCTCAAAAGAAGACATTTATGCAGCCAAAACACACATGAAAAAATGCTCATCATCACTTGCCATCAGAGAAATGCAAATCAAAACCACAATGAGATACCATCTCACACCAGTTAGAATGGCAGTCATTAAAAAGTCAGGAAACAACAGGTGCTGGAGAGGATGTGGAGAAATAGGAACACTTTTACACTGTTGGTGGGACTGTAAACTAGTTCAACCATTGTGGAAGTCAGTGTGGTGATTCCTCAGGGATCTAGAACTAGAAATACCATTTGACCCAGCCATCCCATTACTGGGTATATACCCAAAGGACTATAAATCATGCTGCTATAAAGACACATGCACACGTATGTTTATTGCGGCTCTGTTCACAATAGCAAAGACTTGGAACCAACCCAAATGTCCATCAATGACAGACTGGATTAAGAAAATGTGGCACATATACACCATGGAATACTATGCAGCCTATACACCATGGAATACTATGCAGCCATAAAAAATGATGAGTTCATGTCCTTTGTAGGGACATGGATGAAATTGGAAATCAACATTCTTAAAGAAAAGAATTTTCAACACAGAATTTCATATCCAGCCAAACTAAGCTTCATAAGTGAAGGAGAAATAAAATCCTTTACACACAAGCAAATGCTGAGAGATTTTGTCACCACCAGGCCTGCCTTACAAGAGCTCCTGAAGGAAGCACTACACACGGAAAGGAACAACCAGTACCAGCCACTGCAAAAACATGCCAAATTGTAAAGACCATCGATGCTAGGAAGCAACTGCATCAACTAACGGGCAAAATAACCAGCTTACATCATAATGACAGGATCAAATTCACACATAACAATATTAACCTTAAATTTAAATGGGCTAAAGGCCCCAATTAAAAGACACAGACTGGCAAATATGATAAAGAGTCAAGACCCATCAGTGTGCTGTATTCAGGAAACCCGTCTCACGTGCAGAGACACACATAGGCTCAAAATAAAGGGATGGAGGAAGATCTACCAAGCAAATGGAAAAAAAAAAAAAAAGGCAGGGGTTGCAATCCTTGTCTCTGATAAAACAGACTTTAAACCAACAAAGATCAAAAGAGACAAAGAAGGCCATTACATAATGGTAAAGGGATCAATTCAACAAGAAGAGCTAACTATCCTAAATACATATGTGCCCAATATAGGAGCACCCAGATTCATAAAGCAAGTGCTTAGAGACCTACAAAGAGATTTAGACTCCCACACAATAATAATGTGAGACTTTAACACCCCACTGTCAATATTCCACAGATCAACAAGACAGAAGCTTAACAAGGATACCCAGGACTTGAATTCAGCTCTGCACCAGGCAGACCTAATAGACATCTACAGAACTCTCCACCCCTAATCAACAGAATATATGTTCTTCTGAGCACCACATTGCACTTATTCCAAAATTGACCACATAGTTGGAAGTAAAGCAATCCTCCGCAAATATGAAAGAACAGAAATCACAACAAACTGTCTTTCAGACCACAGTGCAATCAAATTGGAACTCAGGATTAAGAAACTCACTCAAAACTGCACAACTACGTGGAAAGTGAACAACCTGCTCCTGAATGACTACTGGGTAAATAATGAAATGAATGTGGAAATAACGATGTTCTTTGAAACCAATGAGAACAAAGACACAACGTACCAGAATCTCTGGGACACGTTTAAAGCAGTGTGTAGAGGGAAACTTATAGCACTAAATGCCCACAAGAGAAAGCAGGAAAGATCCAAAATTGACACCCTAACATCACAATTAAAAGAACTAGAGAAGCAAGGGCAAACACATTCAAAAGATAGCAGAAGGCAAGAAATAACTAAAATTAGCAGAACGGAAGGAGATAGAGACACACACACAAAAAAACCCTTCAAAAAATCAATGAATCTAGGAGCTGGTTTTTTGAAAAGATCAACAAAATTGATAGACTGCTAGCAAGACTAATAAAGAAGAAGACAGAGAAGAATCAAATAGATGCAATAAAAAATAATATAGGAGATATCACCACCAATCCCACAGAAATACAAACTACCATCAGAGAACACTATAAACACCTCTATGCAAATAAACTAGAAAATCTGGAAGAAATGGATAAATTCCTGGACACATACACCTTCCCAAGACTAAACCAGGAAAAAGTTGAATTCCTGAATACACCAATAACAGGCTCTGAAATTGAAACAATATTTAATAGCCTACCAACCAAAAAAAAGTTCAGGACCAGACAGATTCACAGCCGACTTCTACAAAGAGGAGCTGCTACCATTCCTTCTGAAACTATTCCAATCAATAGAAAAAGAGGGTATCCTCCCTAATTCATTTTATGAGGCCAGCATCATCCTGATACCAATGCCTGGCAGAAGCACAACAAAAAAGAGAATTTTAGATCAATATCCCTGATGAACATCGATGCAGAAATCCTCAATAACGTACTGGCAAACCGAATCCAGCAGCACATCAAAAAGTTTGTCCACCATGATCAAGTTGGTTTCACCCCTGGGATGTAAGGCGGTTCCACATATGCAAATTAATTAACATAATCCATCACATAAACAGAACCAAAGACAAAAACCACATGATTATCTCAATAGATGCAGAAAAGACTGACAAAATTTAACAGTACATAATGCTAAAAACTTAATAAACTAGGTATTGATGGAACATATCTCAAAATAATAAGAGCTGTTTATGACAGACCCACAGCCAATATCATACTGAATGGGCAAAAACTGGAAGCATTCCCTTGGAAAACTGGCACAAGACAGGGATGCCCTCTCTCACCACTCCTATTCAACATAGTGTTGGAAGTTCTGGCCAGGGCAGTCAGGCAAGAGAAAGAAATAAAGGGTATTCAATTAGGAAAAGAGGAAGTCAAATTGTCCCTGTTTGCAGATGACATGATTGTATATTTAGAAAACTCCATTGTCTCAGACCAAAATCTCCTCAGCTAATAAGCAACTTCAGCAAAGTCTCAGGATACAAAGTCAATGTGCAAAAATCACAAGCATTTCCTATACACCAACAACAGACAGACAGAGCCAAATCATGTATGAATTCCCATTCACAATTGCTACAAAGAGAATAAAATACCTAGAAATCCAACTTACAAAGGATGTGAAGTACCTCTTCAAGGAGAACTACAAACCACTGCTCAATGAAATAAAAGAGGACACAAACAAATGGAAGAACATTGCATGCTCATGGATAGGAAGAATCAATATCATGAAAATTGCCATACTGCCCAAGGTAATTTATAGATTCCATGCCATTCCCATCAAGCTACCAATGACTTTCTTCACAGAACTGAAAAAAACTACTTTAAAGTTCATATGGAACCAAAAAAGAGCTCACATTGCCAAGACAATCCTAAGCAAAAAGAAAAAGCTGGAGGCATCATGCTACCTGACTTCAAACTATACTACAAGGCTACAGTAACCAAAAGAGCATAGTACTGCTACCAAAACAGAGATATAGACCAATGGAACAGAACAGAGCCCTCAGAAATAACACCACACATCTACAACCATCTGATCTTTGACAAACCTGACAAAAACAAGAAATGGGGAAAGGATTCCCTATTTAATAAATGGTGCTGGGAAAACTGGCTAGCCATATGTAGAAAGCTGAAACTGGATCCCTTCCTTATACCTTATACAAAAATTAATTCAAGATGGATTAAAGACTTAAATGTTAGACCTAAAACCATAAAAACCCTAGAAGAAAACCTAGGCAATACCATTCAGGACATAGGCATGGGCAAGGACTTCATGTCTAAAACACCAAAAGCAATGGCACCAAAAGCCAAAATTGACAAATGGGATCTCATTAAACTAAAGAGCTTCTGCACAGCAAAAGAAACTACCATCAGAGTGAACAGGCAACCTACAGAATGGGAGAAAATTTTCACAACCTGCTCATCTGACAAAGGGCTAGTATCCAGAATGTACAAAGAACTCAAACAACTTTACAAGAAAAAATAAAACAACCCCATCAAAAAGTGGGCAACGGATATGAACAGACACTTCTCAAAAGAAGACATTTATGCAGCCAACAGACACATGAAAACATGCTCATCATCACTGGTCATTAGATAAATGCAAATCAAAACCACAATGAGATACCATCTCACACCAGTTAGAATGGTGATCATTAAACAGGAAACAACAGGTGCTGGAGAGGATGTGGACAAATAGGAACACTTTTACATTGTTGGTGGTAGTGTAAACTAGTTCAACCATTGTGGAAGATAGTGTGGCAATTCTTCAAGGATCCAGAACTAGAAATACCATTTGACCCAGCGATTCCATTACTGGGTATATACCCACGGATTATACATCATGCTACTATAAAGACACGCGTACACGTATTTTTATTGGGGCACTATTCACAATAGCAAAGACTTGGAACCAAGTCGAATTTCCACCAATGATAGACTGAATTAAGAAAATGTAACAGATAGACACCATGGAATACTATGCAGCAATAAAACAGGATGAGTACATGTCTTTTGTAGGGACATGGATGAAGCTGGAAACCATCATTCTGAGCAAACTATCACAAGGACAGAAAACCAAACACGGCATGTTCTCACTCATAGGTGGGAATTGAACGATGAGAACACTTGGACACAGGGTGGGGAATATACACCAGGGCCTGTCGTGGGGTGGGGGAATGGGGGAGGGATAGCATTAGAATAAATATCTAATGTAAATGACAAGTTAATGGGTGCAGCAAACCAACATGGCATATGTATACATATGTAACAAACCTGCATGTTGTGC
This sequence comes from Homo sapiens, assembly GCF_000001405.40. NCBI lineage: Eukaryota > Metazoa > Chordata > Mammalia > Primates > Hominidae > Homo > Homo sapiens. Next base: position 59,467,470 of record NC_000001.11, read on the forward strand.
ACATGTACCTTAGAACTTAAAGTATAATAAAAAAAAAACATACAAACCTATTATACTTTTCCCTTCTTAAATTTATCCCTTTCTTTGATCTTACATTTCCCTGTAGGCTACATCTTGTTACTGTAATTCCTTTTATTATAGAGTTACTACAATAATTGTCTTTTACTGCCTCTACTTCCTATGATGACATTACAGTTACACTTTCTTCCCCACCACTGTACTGAAATTAAAAAAATAATAATAAAATGGATTTCCTCCATCCCTATGAGACTGTACTTTGGGTGTCAGATGACAAAAACACAGTCACTTGGCACATTTTAGATACTGATGAAATATTCATTGAATGAGTTAATATATGTTTGAATTAAGGATTTGATTTTTTTTAAGTCCCTTGTTGGCTTCAATTGTTTCTTTCTTGTTTTTTTTGTTTTGTTTTGTTTTGTTTTTTTTTGAGATGTAGTTTCTCTCTTGTTGCCCAGGCTGGAATGCAAGGGCATAGTCTCGGCTCACTGCAACCTCTGCCTCCCGGTTTCAAGTGGTTCTTCTGCCTCAGCCTTCCGAGTAGCTGGGATTACAGGCATGCGCCACCATACCTGGCTAATTTTGTATTTTTAGTAGAGACGGGGTTGCTCTATGTTGGTCAGGCTGGTCTCGAACTCTCGACCTCAAGTGATCCGCCCCCCTCAGCCTCCCAAAGTGCTGGGATTATAGGCATAAGTCACCGCGCCCGACTGGCTTCAATTGTTTCTAAACCACAATGGACTTTCGTAAATTTTTTGAATTAAATAATACTACTAGCTAACAGGCAATGAATGTATTTCCTTAATTCAGTGTTCACTGTCATCTTTCATGAACACCTTCTACATAAGACGGGTCCCTGCAGAAGATACACCCTATGTTGAGTGATAGTGCAATTCTATTTCATTCCTGTAGCAAATCTCTCAGAGACTTTTCTATCTTAGGAAATATCACAGACTCCTTCACAGAAGGAAAACAAGAATTAATCTTAGAAAGGTTGGGCATTTCACTTTTTCATAGAGTAAAATAAACTGAACATTAAATGAAGCTACACTTTAGATATTTTTGTCATGTAGGCTAAAAATTTGTAAGTAAAGAATCTTGGCTGGGCGTGGTGGCTCACACCTGTAATCCCAGCACTTTGGGAGGCCGAGGCAGGTGGATCATGGGGTCAGGAGATCGAGACCATACTGGCTAACATGGTGAAACCCTGTCTTTATTAAAAATACAAAAAATCAGCCAGGTGTGGTCGCGGGCGCCTGTAGTCCCAGCTACTTGGGAGGCTGAGGCAGGAGAATGGCGTGAACATGGGAGGCGGAGCTTGCAGTGAGCCAAGATTGCACCACTGCACTCCAGTCTGCTCCACTGAGCAAGACTCTGTCTTTAAAAAAAAAAAAAAAAAAAAAGGATCTTGACTAATGAACTAATGATAGGTATATGCTGGGGACATAAATGTGCCAGTGAACAGAGCCACCTCAGGCAAGGGTGCAGTATTGGCTTTGGTCACACTGAATCAAAGTTCAGGGATCTTCTGCCTCTTGTTGGAATCTGGCTAGACTTTGGAACCTGCACAATACTGACTTATCCACCCACTGGCTGGCCAAGAAGCTGAGACAAAGAGAAAAGAAGCCACCTATACTTGCCTGAAGCAAGCTGCACTTGATCAGATTGATTCATGAACTCAGAGCCCACAGGCCTGAGTACAGGTGGCTCAAGAAGAAAGTATTAGTTCTTTTCTGCTGCTATAACAGAATACTTGAGGTTGGGTGATTTATAATCAGCAGAGATTAATTCAGCTCATGGTTCTGGAGGCTGCAGTGCCCAAGGGTGCCGATAACTTCTGGGCATCTGATAAGGGCCTTCTTGCTGCATCATCCCATGGCAAAGGGTGCAAGAGTGTGGGACTGCACACACAAGAATGAGAGAGGGCAAGAGGGGGCTTGGCTTTATCAGAAGTGCCTCCTAAGACAATGGCATTAATCCATTCATGAGGGCAGAGCCCTCATGGCTTAATCACATCTTAAAAGTCTCACCTTTTAATACTGTCATAATGGCAATGAAATTTTAACATGACTTTTTGTTTTAATATGCTGAGCTTTTATTCATATTTTTTTTTAACTTTTAAGTTCAAGGGTAGAAGTGCAGTTTTGTTACATAGGTAAACTTGTGTCATGGGGGTTTGTTTTACATATTATTTTGTCACCCAGGTATTAAGCCTAGTACCCGTTATTTTTCCTGATCCTCTTCCTCCTCCCACCCTTTGTCCTCCACCCTCCCAAAGGACCCAGTGTGTGTTATCCCCCTCATTGTGTCCGTGTGTTCTCATTCTTTAGTTCCCACTTAAAAGTGAGAACATGTGATATTTGGTTTTCTGTTCCTGTGTTAGTTGCTAAGAATGATGGCCTCTAGCTCCATCCATGTCCCTGCAAAGGACATGATCTTGTTCTTTTTTTATGGCTGCATAATAGTCCATGGTGTACATGTACCACATTTTCTTTATCCAGTCTACCATTGATGGGCATTTAGGTTGATTCCATGTCTTTGCTATTGTGAACAGTGCTGCAGTGAACATACATGTACATGTGTCTTTATAATAGAATGATCTATATTCTTTGGGGTATATACCCAGTAATGAGATTTCTGGGTCAGATGGTATTTCCATCTTTAGGTCTTTGAGGAATCGCCACATTGTCTTCCACAATGGCTGAACTATTTCACACTCCCACCAACAGTGTATCAACAGCGTTTAAGTATTCCCTTTTCTTCACAACCTCACCAGCATCTGTTATTTTTTGACTTTTTAATAGCCATTCTGACTGGTGTGAGATGGTATCTCATTGTGGTTTTGATTTGCATTTCTCTAATGATCAGTGATGTTGACCTTTTTTTCATATCAATATGACTTCTGAAGGGGACATTCAAACCATCACAGAGATACATGCCAAGCCTTCATGAACTCCACTTCAGGACTGTGGCCCCACTTCCCATTTAACACGGCCTCATGGATACTATTATACAATCTTTTCAGTCTCAGGGATCCAGCTAAGTGATTCCTTCTCCCATGGATGGAATAAGGGAGATTATAAAAGCAGGAAATGGGAGCATTCACACCAATACTACCTCATTTTAGGGGAAAGAAGAGGAAATTCCCTTTTGTAAACAAACCATAGAGGTTTCCACCAACAACATGCATTATGTCCAGTGCTGGAAGCCTGAATCCAGTGATGCCATCCATAGTTGTGGGTGTTGTAAAATCCTTTTAGAGCAATTAATATTCAATGTTCTGAATTTTTCCAGTAAAAGTGGACATGTTTACAAGGATTCATGTCTTCATTCTTTATAGTGTGTGGCTTGTTTTTCATTTTGATTTGAATGAGCCATATAATTCAGTTATTTCTGTCCTCAGAGCTTTGCTGAAGTGCTGCTTCATCTTTGTATCATGTGATATAAGTGCCAATTTTACTAATTTATATTGAGAGCTCTGGAGAAATCTTTAACTACAGGTAATCCCAGCCTTTTCTAGGTTAAATGGGGCCCATCACACCATTACCTCCCCTCTCCTGAGGGAGGCTTATATGGTTTGCCTCTGCATCCCCACCCAAATCTCATCTCAAATTGTAATCCACACATATATCAAGGGGGAGACTTGGTGGGAGGTGATTAGATCCTGGGGGCTGTTTCCCCAATGCTGTTCTCTTGATAGTGAAGGAGTTCTCAGAGATCTGGTTGTTTGATAAATGTTTGGCATTTTCCCTGCTTGTTCTTGCTCTCTCCTGCCTTCCTTCCCCCTCTCCTTCCACCATGATTCTAAGTTTCCTGAGGCCTCCCAAGCCAGGTGGAATGGTGAGTCAATTAAACCTCTTTTCTTCATAAATTACACAGTCTCAGGTATTTCTTTATAGCAATGTGAAGATGGAGTAATATAGAGGCCATCCCTGTGGGTACTCTGGACTGAGATTTGCTTTTGCCTGTCACCCTGAGCTTTTGATCTTACCTTATCCTCTTATTATCCTTCTCTTCCCTGTCTAAGTGACAGAACCAGGTCTTCACAGTACTTGAAGGCAAGTACCTATCCTCTGAGTATTGATGCCTTATTTTACTCTTTAGTATCGAATTTCTGCCTGATAAAGAATGACTTGGAGGTCTCCATGCCAGTTAGCCATCCATCCAGTCATGCATCCAGCCAACCACACTCCCCAAGTGTCTCCTGTGTGCCAGGTGCTGGGCTAAGTCCTAGGGATACAAAAGTGAATTCATCATGGTCTATCCCTTTGGGGATCTCATGTCTACTAGGGGTAGGGGCAGGTAAATGAATCAGTAATCTCAAGGTTTTTCAGTAACTCTACAGATGTCCAAGATGCCATGGAGAAGCAGAGCAGGCAGTCACTGGCACTGGTGGTGGTATCAAGGAAATTTTCTCATGAGGTGGCATTTTATGTGTCTGGAAAATTGGAGTGGTAGTGAGAAGTGACAGCGTGCTGGCAGTCCTCACAGCCCTCGCTCGCTCTCCGCGCCTCCTCTGCCTGGGCTCCCACTTTGGCGGCACTTGAGCCCTTCAGCCCGCCGCTGCACTGTGGGAGCCCCTTTCTGGGCTGGCCAAGGCCGGAGCCGGCCCCCTCAGCTTGCGGGGAGGTGTGGAAGGAGAGGCGCGGGCGGGAACCGGGGCTGCGCGCAGTGCTTGCGGGCCAGCGTGAGTTCCGGGTGGGTGTGGGCTCGGCGGACCCCGCACTTGGAGCGGTCGGCCGGCTCCACCGGCCCAGGGCAGTGAGGGGCTTAGCACCTGGGCCAGCAGCTGCTGTGCTCAATTTCTCGAGGGGCCTTAGCTGCCTTCCCGCGGGGCAGGGCTCGGAACCTGCAGCCCGCCATGCCTGAGCCTCCCCCTGTTCCGTGGGCTCCTGTGGGGCCCGAGCCTCCCTGACGAGCGCCGCCCCCTGCTCCACGGAGCCTAGTCCCATCGACCACCCAAGGGCTGAGGAATGCGGGCGCACGGCGCGGGACTGGCAGGCAGCTCCACCTGCAGCCCCGGTGCGGGATCCACTGGGTGAAGCCAGCTGGGCTCCTGAGTCTGGTGGGGACATGGAGAACCTTTATGTCTAGATCAGGGATTGTAAATACACCAATTGGCACTCTGTATCTAGGTCAAGGTTTGTAAACACACCAATCGGCACCCTGTGTCTAGCTCAGGGTTTGCGAATGCACCAGTCCACACTCTGTATCTAGCTACTCTGGTGGGGACTTGGAGAACCTTTGTGTGGACACTCTGTATCTAGCTAATCTGGTGGGGAGGTGGAGAACTTTTGTGTCTAGCTCAGGGATTGTAAATACACCAATCGGCTCTCTGTATCTAGCTGAAGGTTTGTAAACACACCAATCAGCACCCAGTGTCTAGCTCAGGGTTTGTGAATGCACCAATCAACACTCTGTATCTAGCTACTCTGGTGGGGACTTGGAGAACCTTTGTGTCTAGCTCAGGGATTGTAAACGCACCAATCAGCACTCTGTCAAAACAGACCACTCGGCTCTACCAATCAGCAGGTTGTGGGTGGGGCCAGATAAGAGAATAAAAGTAGGCTGCCCGAGCCAGCAGTGGCAACCCACTCGGGTCCCCTTCCACACTGTGGAAGCTTTGTTCTTTCTCTCTTTGCAATAAATCTTGCTGCTGCTCACTCTTTGGGTCCACTTTGCCTTTATGAGCTGTAACACTCACTGCAAAGGTCTGCAGCTTCACTCCTGAAGCCAGCGAGACCACGAACCCACCGGGAGGAACGAACAACTCCAGACGCGCCGGCTTAAGAGCTGTAACACTCACCGCGAAGGTCCGCAGCTTCACTCCTGAGCCAGCGAGACCACGAACCCACCAGAAGGAAGAAACTCCGAACACATCTGAACATCAGAAGGAACAAACTCCGGACACGCCACCTTTAAGAACTGTAACACTCACCGTGAGGGTCCGCGGCTTCATTCTTGAAGTCAGTGAGACCAAGAACCCAGCAATTCTGGACACAGTAGTTTACCAGAAAAGAGGGGAAATGGCTTCCAAGGCAGAAGAAACAGTGCAGGCACAGACATGGAGGCATGGAAGAGTGCAGAGTGTGTGTGAACTGTTGGGTGTGGCCAGAGCATAGTGGACCTGAAGCAAGGTGGAGAGGAGTAGTTGTGGGCAAGATAGAGTTTATGGGGGGCTAGTTTCTGATGGAACTTCTAACTTTCCTCAAAGATGGGGCCACCGATTAGAGACTCAACATGGCAGGAGTCACTCTATTCCTTTCAAGAGATGGTTCTAATTACTACTCCTGCCAATGCAGTAAATAACACTTGAGGGCAGTAGGAGCCATTTTAGAATATTTGTGGCTCCTATGAAGCTGTTTGTGTGTCGGGGCAGGTGGCAAGCCCATTTCTTTTCTTTTCTAAAGTCACATACCTTGCCCCTTAGCTATCCTCCCTTCCATAAAGGTTTGTTGTGAAGCTGGAATGTGATATCAGATGTCACAGGGCAGTGTGGTTTACGAAGCCTGTAGAAATGTTCTTACCAACTGTAAGTACACCTTGGCACCTGGAGGACAAGAATATTCACTCCTGCATCACTCTGTTCCAACTGTGTTCACACTCCTTAGATTCGCAGAAGGACTGTTTTCAGCTGCTGGCCCTTCCAGGAATAGCCCTAAAGAGCCAGAAGGGCAAAGGAGTAACATTGACCACATCATGGTGATACAAGGTAATAACTTTCAGAGGTTTTGCTGTGGAAATGTTCCTCCTTTCAATACGGCATCTGAAAGATAATTGGAAGTCCCCCAAAAGTGAGGTCACCCCCAACTTCTCTTCCTACTGCTGGAGAATCAGCGATTGTCAGAGCTGAAAGGGATCATAGAGATTTTACTGTAATGCACTCATTTTATAGACAAAAAACTGAGACTCAGGGATGTGAGGTGAATTTCCTTGGTCCTGCAGCATTTTAATGACAGAAATGAGACCAGAAACCAGGTCTTCTGACTCTTAGTCCTGTGGTGGTTCTACTCCTTCCTGCCACTTCTCCTGTTTGAGTTTTTTGGCAATGTGAGGACATTTAGCCAATCTGGATACTGACATTTGAATGAAGCTAACCACTAGAAGAATGTCAAGGAGGGAACGATTTACATAGGTAAATTTACCCAATCCATTGTCCAATCTTCAGTCATGCAAATGTAGGAACTGGACTTTGCCCAAGTCAGAGACCTTTGGATCTAGGAACACACTGATCAAGCCCTTAAGTGACTGATGTAGATAAACGAGAATAAATAAGTAATAAGTTCACAGTTGCCTATGGTAATAGTTAAGAGATTGGTCACCAGGGTCAGATGGACTTGACTTCAATTCTGACTGTCATCTGTAATGAAATTTCTGCCATATGTAACTTTGGGTGAGTTACTTGATCTTTCTCAGCCTCAATTAGTATATTATGAAGATTAGTAAGTATATCATGAGGATGAAAGGTAATAATGCAGGTAAAGTTCCTAGCATACAATAGGTCTTCAGAAAATGAAAGTTCTTACTACTATAATGATTGTCCATTCCTCTGAATTCAGATTTCTCTCTAGGTGATAGATTATCTGCCAAAGACCATAACCCCTTGAATAATCCCAGGTAATTATTGCCAACTTCTAGATTTGGAATTTTTCCTTTTTTCTGAGCTTCTTCCTTGGATTCACACAACCTTTTTCCAACCAAGATACAATAAGATTAATTAGATTTCTGCTTCTAAATTATAATCACATTTCATAATCACAAACCTTCCTTGAGAGGCATCTTAATTGGAATTAAGGGTTTTCCTGAATTCGTCAGGTCCACATGACTGGCAATCTTTAGCTTTTTTTCCATGAATAGAGGGGTGCATATCCACAGGCAAATAAAAAAAATACAGGATATGTTGGTTAACAATTAACTAGTTAATTAATAATGGCTAATGTTCCTACAGTGCTTTACAACTTAGAAGAGTTTTTCTTTTCATGCACTATTGTGCTTTTTTCTTCCACCAAACTTGTAAAATAGGTTTGATTTCAGTTTTACACTTGGGGAAGCCAGGATTGATGAGCTTTGGTCTTTTCCATCTCAGTAGAAGGTGTCACAATTCTCCCTGTCATTCAGGACCCAAACCTAGAAGTCATTCTTAATGCTTCTCTTCTTCCTCTTACACCTTACATTTAATCCATCAACAAGTACTTTCTGCTTTGCTCCAAAGTGGACCCGGAATGAGGCATTCCTGCCCCTCTTCACTATTAGTATCGTAGTTCAAAGTAGTTTTATTTCTTGCTGGATTTGTGTGCTAGCCTCTTAAATGGTCTCCCTGTTTCTGTCCTTCCCTCTGATAATCCATTCTCCACACAGCAGCCAGAGTGATATTTTAAAAATGTAAATCAGATCATGTTACTCTCCTGCTTAAATTCCTCCAGTGGCTCCCCATTGCAGCTGGGAAAAAAATAACTCCTTGCCATGTTCAACAAAGTCTTGCGTGATCTCTGTCTGACTTTTATTGCTTACCATGCCCCCACGTAGTCACCATCCAACCACAATGACCTTCTTTTTGTCCCTCAGACATTTCCAGTGTATATAGCTTTTGCGTTAACTCTGCCTTCTGTCTGGCATGGCCCTTCTCAAAATATTCACATGGTCTACCTCTTTCTCTTTGTTCAGATCTCAGCTTCAATGTCATCAGAGAAGAGCTTTCCCTTACCACCCAAACACTCTCTTCTACTCCAGCAGTATTCTGTTTCCCTGTTGTATTTTATTCTTAACACTCATGACTATCCAAAATTAATCAGTCTTGTCTGGATGCTTTATAGGTATTAACTCGTTTAATGCCTTTAACCAGTCTAGACAGGTACTACTATATTCATTTTACTGATGAGGAAATTAAGGAAAGGAGAGGTTAAGTAAGTTGCTCAAGGTCACACAGTAAGTAATGGAATCAGAGACAGGTCTGCTCCAGATCCTGCACATCTGTCCATGTAGCTGCAGTCTCCTGGCCTGGGCTGCGCTGATACAGCTGCAGTTCTCAGACTAAGTTCAACAAGAGTCCCAGTCCTAGTCCAGTGATGCCTGAAGTCACATGTTTCATTCTGGGCCTCACATTCATGAAGACCACTGACAAAAAGGCCCCAGGGCCCCAGATGAAAAACATAATTTAAAGCCAGTGAATTTGAGAAGCAGTTGAGCAGTTTTGGGTTTTCTCATCAAATTACCTGCCCAATGTCAAAATATTAGTAAATTATAGATCTAGATTTTAATTGAGTGTTGTCTGACATTCCCTTCCTCAGTGCTGACTTGAGATTACTCAAGATGACAGAAGAAAAGTGCTGCCTCAGAGGTTCTTTCCTCCCTCTCTGTCTTTGAAAAAGCACAGGGAGAAGAGGGCTGAAGATGTGACTGTCCAGTAATTGGAACCATCTCGGCTCCTCTGAAATTCTAGGAGAAGAATAAGTGAACAGTATGATATCTTGCAAAGCTTCATGTGCCTTAATCACATTAAAATTCACAATTCAGTTTTGGATTTATTTTTCCTTGTTTTTTGAAAGTTATTGACTTGGGACTTGCTTCTGGATCTCAGTTGGACATCTGACCTCATGCCATTATTGTCATCCATTTAGAGGTCATTTATTTCAGTGTTCTTGAAAGGCAGCCATTCCCAGTGGTTGGCCTTCTCTATTGCATGTGACACATCGCAGCTCTTCTGCTTAGCTTTTCTTGGTCACACAGCTATCAGGTGGTGACTTTGGCCTCCAATGTGGCCCTTACCTCTGACTTTGTAGCTCCTCTGCAGTACTCTTCACTCTGGTTCTGTGGAGTTTTGACTCCGAGATACCCATGACCTTTTAAGTTTCCCAGCACCAGCTAACCTTTCTGAGAATCTGCATCAGAGGGCTGCAGTGGTCAGGGTGGCAGGTCACCAGTTGACTAATGGCCTCCTCCAAGGTTTGCTGGCAGACACTGCGTTGCCATGAACCCTATTGATCCCAGAAGTTTGCCTGCTGCTTAGACAGTCTTTGCGGGCGTGAGGAGGTAGTGAGTCATGGAGCCACCACCCCTGCTACCCATCTGTTCTTGTGGTGAGGAGAACAAAGATGATCTCTTTGTGGTATCATAAAACCTAGAAAGACATTAAAAATTCCGTTAAATTTTCATACGCTTTTAGCTGTTGAAATGTACAATCTATTATGAGGGGGGAAAAACCCACTGTAATTTTCCCCCCACTGCCCTTACTTCAGAGGCTACTTAAGGGACCAGGTAATGATTTTACGATGTTTATTAATACTTCATGTTCTGCTTCCCTCCCCCATTCATTTATCTTTAAATTGAAAGCACAGAAACTGCCAGGGATCTTTAAAATCCAGAGTTTTTGCAATGTCATAGGTTGTTCTGTTATGGATATTGTATGTAGAGATCTATTGTTGACTCAGAGCTGGGGATGGGGTTGGGGGTGGTATTTATTTTTAAAATGCACTTTGGAGTAATGGAAATAACATGAGTTTTGGAGCCAGATATACATGAGTTTGAATCCTGGCCCTGCCATTTACTACCTTTGTGACCAGTATCAAACAAGTTACCTAACCTCCGAAGGCCACTCAGTTCAACCACTTGCCAGATTGGGAAAGTAATACCTCTCTCTGAGAATTTGGATGACCTCAAACAGAGACCTCTCAATGCAGGCCTCGTGGGAACAATCTTATCTTATCCGGATATCCAGATAATTTTTAGTTTTTCTTAGTTGTTCTGAGTAATTACTTTTATTTTCTCTGTCTCTCGTGGGTATCATGTGGAGTAACTGTCAAGATATCCCTCACCCCTTTGGTTGCTTGAGAATTGACAGCATATTGAAGCCTCATCTATAGTAGATTTATAAACTATGGTATAAAGCTATAACCTCACCTCAATTTATTTTGTTCCCATGTTTGGTTTATTTAATCTTTGATCCCACTTACCTCATTTTATATTTGCCTACTAGTTATAAGCTGTCTGAAACATTTTATAACATAGCATGTAGAAATATGTCTGGAACATAGTAGGTACTCAATAGATATTTGGTAAATGAATGAATAAGTAAGCATTAGAGATACAGATACAATATGTTTCAGAGGATAATTAAATAAAAGAGGGCAAGATAATGAGTTTGTGCCTTTGAGATATCCAAATAAAAACATAGAGTAGACATTTGGATCTATGCTAGGAAAAAAGGCTAGAAATAGAGATTTGGAAGTCATAAGTGTAGATGATATTTGAAGCCATAGATATGTGTGAGAGACTCTAGAGGGAGAAGAGAAATTTCAGTACTTTAGAGGCCAGGTAGAGGAAGATGTGCCTGCAAAGGAGGCTAAGGATGTACCTGCCAAGGGCAGGGAGATAATGAGGAGATTTTACAAGGGGAGGGAACAATCTCCAAGGATGCTGAAAAAGGAAGGGAGATAAGGACTGGACACTGTTCATTTGATATAGTGACTCGGGGACCTTAGTGAAAGTCACTTGCTTATAATAGTGAGGCAGAAGATAAAAGTCGTACAGCAGCCACAGCTAACACTGAGCACAGATGCTGTGCCAAGTGCTTAATGTGGACTGTTACATTACAACAACATGAGATGTGTAGTCATCTCACCCCATTCCCATTTTTTACAGAGGATAAAAATGAGGCATAAAGAAGTTAATCACCCAAGGTCATATAGCTGGGTTCAAGCCAAGACAGGTGTCAGGACTCAGAGTCACAGTTGAGAAAATGAAGCCAGAAAGTTTAGATAACTCAAGAAATTTGGTCAGAGTGTGGGGGGAGAGAGAGAGAGATGGGGTGGTCACTAGGGGAGGAAGACGGTTGGAAATAGGTAGAGTGTTCCACTGTTTGGTTGATTGATTGTTGGAAGATGGAGATTTGCTTGAGCATGTCTGATTGCTGATAAGAAGATTCTAGTAGTGAGTGATGGGTTGCTGATACCCAGAGAGAAGGGAGAATCAGTACTGTGGGTCCAGAGAAGACAGGCAGGATTAGCCTTGGAATACAGACTTTCTATTTTAATAGGTAGGAAGAAGACAAAAATGGTACAGCTCATGGGAGCAGCATGTGCTCGGAAGTGGGAAGTTAAGGGATTTCCCTTCATGAGGCTTCTGTTTTCTTTGTGAAGTAAAAAGTGAGATGATCTTCTGACAGAGTGGTAGCCAAGTGAGAGAGTCAGAATCTGTAAAAAATGGAAAAGGTTTAAAATAGAAGTACAGAGGATCGGGGAAAAGATGATTAGAGAAATCTTGGAGGATTATCAAACGGTACACAGAACCCTGCTTAGGGGTCGCCATGAATTTATTATAAATCTGCCCTGTGGTGTGATTTTCTCCAGCAGCACTCAGCATCTGGTTGTAAGCACACAGGAAAGGGTTGTTCTTTTGTTTTATTAATCTTAATGAATAGCAGTAGTCTGTTCTGCAAGTCCTTGACACCACCCTCTTTTCTATATGCTGTATCTAATCTGTTACCAAGTGCTGTCAGTCTTAGGCTCCAAATACGTCTATAATTCATGAACTCTTTCCACCTCAAAATGCTACCTAGCCTGTGTTCCCATAATCTCGCAACTGGATTATTCAACAGGCTTATAACACTTGTCATTGAATGGAAACTTGCCTTTTTCAGTCCATCCTGAACACTGCAGCCAGCATGAACTTTTTATAATGAAAATCTAATCTAATCCTGTGACCTCCCAGCATAAACCTTCTCAAGTCTTCCCAATGCTTTTAGGGCAAAAACCAAAAACCCGAATTATGGTCTCCCCTCCTTCTGGCACCACTGTTTTCATTGATCTCTGACCTCAGTTGCCCTCTTTTGGTTTTCTGCACACGACACCCTTCTCACCGCAAGATCTGCTCTCATGGTCTTGTTTTGCTTCCAGTATCGAGTCCATGTTCCAGGAAGAAGGACAAGGACAAAGGGCAAAAGTATGGACTTTGCTTCTGTTCCAGTGTTAACTCTGAAACCTCACTCGGTCTCTTCTGCCTACATGTCAATGGCCAGAACCGTATTACATACTACTACCTGCAAGGGAAGCTGGGGAAAGGTCCATTTTTTGCCAGTCACATTTCAGCCTTCAATAAAATGAGAGTTGTGTTATTTAAAAAGAAGAGGAGGAGGGGCACTAGGTAAGCAACCTGGAGTCCCACCTTCAATGAGGAAGTGTTTTCTAGGTGAAGAGTTGAGTGAAGGAGATGCTGACAGAAGTGACAGCATGAATACAGTTTAGTGCTGAGCAATATGATGTGGGAAGAAGGTGCTGGAACACTGAGTTTGAGGCAGGGAAAAGGGAGGGAGGAAACAGAGAAGTAGGCAGGGATCAAAAAATCATAATGCCCTTCTATTCCAGCTGAGGAACTTAAACTTCATCCCGTGTGTTAGCCTCTAAATGAGGTCTTATATGCCAGGTGATGTCAAGCAAGATGGTCTACTGGGTATAGACAAAAATGTTGGTATTTTTATTTATCTCCATTTTTATTTCATTTTGTTTAAATTCTATTTTTAGGTATGCATCTTGACATACACACATATAATTTATAAGTTCAATAGTACATTATATACAATTTATAAGTAATAGCTATGTTGGGAGTCCATCTGAAGACTTTTTTCTTAGTGACTTGCACAGTCAAAATGTTTAGAAACTATTGCATTAGGCATCAGGGAACTGTTAAAACATTTTAAACAAGGAAATGATGTGATCCAAATTGAATATGGTCCAATTTGCCTTTTCTTTCCCCTATAGAGTTCTTTAAATTTTTAAAAATTTTAGAATGTTAGTACTTAGAAAGAAACATTAGGGAGCATCAACCCTGTGTCATAAGTAAGATAACTGAGGCCCAGGAATATTAAATAATTAGAACCATTAATTTGTGGCTGAGCTGGAGCCCCATCCAACCTGGGTCTCATCTTCTCCCAGTGGTCCTTTGTGGCCCTGTGCGAGTGCTTTCTCTCTTCCTGAATGCATGTCCCTATTCTTCAGCAAATACTCTTCTCATCAGAATTATGACATGTGGGAATCAAGAGGGGAGTAAAAGGGCATATTTATAAAAAACGTGGAAACCAAGAAATCTGTTTTGTAAAAATGAATCACCTATTTAGCCTCAGGGTTCTGTTGACTCTTTAGCTGTCAACATGGAAGTCTCTAGGTACCGATTCCTGCAGGTTCTGTTTTCATAATGCCAGACCCATCAGCAGTTTAACTGAGACATACCGTTGTACAATGTCATTATTTTAGGTATTGTATTTGCAAGGCCAGCGGTCTAAGTAAGAGATTAAACTGAACAGATTTCTGACTTGGTAAGACAGAGACTTTCTAAGGGGTACACTGCCCCACTTTATCTTACCCCAGTGTATATGAAGAAACACATGTTTACCCATGGGAATGTGTATGTATTTGGATCTATTTCACAGAGTATCTTATAAAAACCGACATGAAAAGAAAGTCTGATTTATAGAATCCTATTTCCTGACATTGTGAATACTAGTTCAGGACTTTGCTAACTACTTTTTGACCAGTGTGACTGATTTATTTCCCCATGCCATCATCAACCCAGCTATGCAAGTACAGGAAGACAGGGTATCTAATAACCAGATGGTGAACAAGATCTGTATTCTCTTGGGTATACTAAGCTATTCTGAAAATTCAGTTTATAGGGGTACAGACTAAGGGTTATATATCTCCAAACAAATGTGTTTGTCAAGTTGATGATCATGTTTACCAAGATCCTTTTATCACCAGCTGAGTCCTCTTTTAGTGGCTTAGGTCACCCTGGAATTATTTCAAAAACCAGCCTGATGTTTAGAACCTCCTGTGGGCTCGGGCTTGCCAGACACAAACCTAAAATGAAGCCTGTAGCCTTCATGGTAGCAAACTGTAACCTCAAGCACAATTATATGAATCATGGACAAATGTTTTCACTTTCAAGCAAGTTTTTGCCGCAGCAAAAATGACCACTTATCTAAGAGGCTGCATATTTATATATATATAAACAGTTTTTGGACATAAGAATCTTGACTATTATTTCCCACAGAGAATTACAGATTTATATATGTGTGTCTATGTGTATATATATGTGTGTGTGTGTGTGTGTGTCTGTGTGTGTATATATACATATGTGTGTGTGTGTGTCTGTGTGTATATATATATATATATAAACACCATATTCTGTGTCTTTTATATATAGTATCACTTGATTATTATAATTACCATGAAGTGCCATTGTTCTTCTCATTTTATAGGTGAGGAAACTGAAGCTCAGAGAGGTGAAATAACATCACAAAGCTAAGAGGTTGTAAATTTGGCACTTTTAAAATTATCTAGTTATTACAAAAGTTGATCTTCAGATCAACAAACTTAACTGACATTTCCTTTTTGGGCCCCATTTTCTACTCTGTGAACTGAGGAGGATTGAATTCAGTGATTCTCAAACCAGAGCATACGTCAGAACCACCTGGGGGGATTCTTAAAACACTGATTCCTGGGCCTGCTTAGAGTTTCTAAATCAGAAATTCTCTGGAGCGATTAAGAACTGGTGTTTCCAATAAGTTCCCAAGTGGTGGTTCCCAGCCACACTTTGAGATCCATTGGAGTAGATGATCTCTCAGTGTCTTCCAGCTGTTACATCCTGGAGGGTCAGCAACCTGCCATACTTCATTGGTGTGTGACCAAAAATACTGCTTCTTCATGGAGTGACTTTCCTACTACTTTTGCCAAGTTTGTTGGTTAGCCAGGAAAATTCTCAACATGAATGGAGGAAAATGCTGATGAAAATCACTCCTTCCTGTATTTATTAACTCATTTGCCAGACTAATATTTACTGAGTATACCCTTTGCAGATATTGTGCTACATACTGGAGATAGCACATGTGAAGATACTCAGCCCCTGCCTGCGAGATGCCTATCAACTATGGAGAAAACAGATGATTAATTTATTGTTATTACTAAAAGGGAAGTGCTGAGACCTATGAGAATAAAATACTTCTCTAGGATTTGTGATTATGACTTCAAACTTTTCCTAAACAGGACTATTTTCTACTGTGGTCTTAAGTCATAAATTGTCTATTCTCTGTATCTAGTTCGATTCTGTTCTTAGCTTTTTGAGGTATTTCTTTATTGGGACAGGTCAGTAAGTGGCATTTTCATTTATTTTTTACCAACCTAAGCATTTCCTTCCTGCCCTAGATGAAAACTTAGCTTTGTTCAAAATTTGCATTTTCATTTTTAGCCTATGGTGACAGTTTAAATCAACAGCAAAAGCAGAAACCCTTGTCTAAAGCAATTTCCTCACTGTTATTCCAACTTCAGTGAAATGAGAAGTCCTGGGGAGATGAATTCAGACTGTCTTCTCTACTCCCACCCCTTCTCCTAACAGTTTGGCTTCTTGAAAAAAAATAAAAGATGAAGGAAGCAGGGGTCTTGAAGGGAAGATGTCTACTGTAAAAAAAATAGGGAAAGGAAATAGTGTACTGATAATGGTTATCATTTGTTGAGTGTGCATTATATGCCAGGGACTGTCGCCAAACATTGTACATGAATTAGCAGGTAAACTTCCCCAGTAACCAATGAGGTACAGGTACCATTATTATCTTCCTTTTACAGATATGGAAATTGAAGCTCACAGAGGGTAGATAACTGTCCCAAAGTCTCATGGTTATTTGATGGAGGAACAGGAATTCAAAAGCAGGCCTGACTCCAAAATCTCATGCTTTTTACCAGTAAATTAGATCTCCAGTCATTTCAATCCCTGCATTTTTCATAGGGATGGTGCTGACTCATTTGGCTTCCTGGTTTTCTGACTCATCTCACTGAACAGGGCCAGATCCGATATGTCTTCTGCATTCTCCCTTATATCATCTTTCTCCCTGCTCCCTTTTCTATTATGGTCCACCTACTCTATCATCTTCTTTCCATGGGCCTTAAAGGAATACCTTCTTGTGGACTGTCTCTGTGATGCAGTAGAAATCTGGTAAGCTTGCCAGGGTGTAAAAAGTGCATTTGTTTAGGACTGTAATGTTTATTTGAAAGGGACTTTCAATCACAGACATGACTTTTTTATGAGCCTCATTATATATCCTTGTGATTGGAAAAATGCATCAGTAAATAATGCCTCCATGAAGAGTCACTCTCACTTGCATTATTTTAAAAGATTTGGTAATAAAAAGTACTCAGATTATTGATAATCCATAATTAATATGAAGTAAATAATGTGTGTTTTCAAATAAAATTCACCATGATAAGTGATGAGAGTATGGGCTTTTATATTTCTTTGTAAGTCAGAGACTTATAAAAGATAGGTTATCCATCACTAAGGAATATG
This sequence comes from Homo sapiens, assembly GCF_000001405.40. Lineage (NCBI taxonomy): Eukaryota > Metazoa > Chordata > Mammalia > Primates > Hominidae > Homo > Homo sapiens. The sequence goes on from NC_000001.11 coordinate 59,484,816, forward strand.
TAGACACATTAATTTTAGCATTCAGTTTTTTTTCTCTCTTTTCTAAAAAACATGATTCTATTCTTCAAAAGAAAGAGTGGTTTTATTATTTTTCCAGCTCTTTAAAATGGTTCAAAAATCTTGGCCTGCAGACATCTTTTTAAAAAATCAATTTTTCAATAATTTAGAGTGAATCACACCCATAGGGGGGATGTGCTTTCAAAATAATTAAAGTAGAGGAGGCAGGATTATAGATCTTGAGAAAATGTGCTTGGAAAATGTCCTTTGATTTGTTGTGAACCCCAAAGCTTTGAATAAAATAGGATAGGACTGGAATCAACTTCTGAACTTTCTCACTAGCTAGTGGCATGTTACCAGTAGTCCAGAGAATGCTGAATGCCCATCTAATCTACACTGTCATCCCTTTTATTAACAAAACTTAGGCTTTTAGGGTACATCAGGGTCTTTCATTATAGACTACATTTCCCAGCTCCCTTTGCAGCTACACATGTTCATCTAAGTTTTGGCCAATGAGGTATAAGCAGATGTGTCCTGTGGGATTCCTGAGACGTCTCCTTTAAGGAGATCAGGCAGTGGCCATCCTCTTTCCCTCCCCTGGGTCAGGTAGATTGGCTGGTCAGGTAGGTTAGCAGTGACTTTGGATAAGGGGGACAGACGCCATACTCCAGGGATGGCAGAACAGTGAGCTTTTGTGGAACTTCCATACCAGCCTTGGATTCACTACCTCTGGACTTTGTTTGTATGAGTAGGAAATTTGTTTATTTGTTTTTGCTGTTGTTTTTGCTTTATTAGAAAATCACTGTTTTGTAGATTTGTAGCTACACTTAATCATAACTAATAAAAATGGTGACTCATAAGGTTTGGGAAAACAACAGTTAAATTAAGGTAGTAAGTTTAGCTATCATTATTGAGCACCTACTATTTACTAGGAACTGTTCTAAGATCTTTATTTGTAATAGCTCACATAACTCATTCAACAGTCTTTCTAAGAGACTTACCCCCATTTTACAGATGGTCAGTCACAGAGAGGTTAAATAACTTGCCCAAGATCATACAGCCAAGCCAGGAGTTAAAATCTTCAGTCTATCTCTTAAACTTTCTGTAAATCACTGTGATGAAGTGACTTGACAACATTCTAAAAACAAGTAAAACTGGACCTAAACTCCAACTTTTCCCTATGTAGGATACCTGTCTCCTAGACTTGTTGCTAATTATGTTAGTTGGCCTCTGGCACATCACTTAGAGCCCCTGTGCCTCAGACTTAACACTAATAAGAGGCATGGGACAATACCTCACCATTGTTTAGTATCCATTCTGAGCCTGGCACTGTGCCAGACACACAGATGTGTGAATGACAGCGCACCCAGAGGGAGACCATGCGTTGGTCAAGGAGACAAGGCCTGAACACTTAAGAAGAGCCAAGGAACAGCAAGGGAAATGCAGAACCACAATGTCACTACATCCAGGAGGGTTCTTGGTGCTTGATATGTGGCTAGCAACCAGTGAACATCCCTGGAACCAAGTGGCAATGCATGTTAAGTGCCCTGTGAGCAGGCAGAAATAAATGTTTTGAATCAAAAGAGGAGGGGAGCTTTGGCATCTAAAGGATTCAGGGACACATGGTGAGTGCTTTGGTTCATGTTGGTTGTGCCAGTAATTGAAGGAGTCTTGTAGTTGGTAAGATTTGGGGAGGTGATGGGAAGTTAGGCTCTTCCCCCTTCTGGCTTTCTCTGCCCCAGGGCTAACAGGGCTAGTTCCTGGAACACCGTCTGTGCTCCCCTGTCTTGGGTCCTACACACAGCTACCTACCTGTCAGCTTGGGATGCTTTCCCAGCCTTTCATCCTAGCTACCTTCTTATCCTCCTGGTCTCAGAAAAAAATGACATGACCTATATGGAGTCTCTCCTAAGTAGACCACATCCCACTTACTTGCTCTACTGTGTGGTGAAATCCCATCAAAATGGAGGATATGGTTCCAAAGTCAGTGCATACTGTGAGCAGTGAATCAGCCAAGAGAATCCTTGAAAATCCCTGAGGGAGCTATCTCCACAGTGGAAACTGATAAGCTATCTCCAGTAAGTCTAACACATTAATTCCGGTATTTCTTTTTTCCCTGTTCGAGATAGCTGTCCTATTTTAAAGTCTAGGTTGTATGAAAAAAATCTAGGTTACATGTAGCCAAGCTATAGGTTATACACTCCAAGGAGTCTCATGTACATAGACCATGATGGGAGTGACACACCCCTGAGGTTTTTCAGTGTATATAGAACTGTACATAGTGGAGGTATTAGGGTCAGATGTAGCAAAAGGAGATATTCACACTAAAAGAAAATAGAAACCGAAGCCAACCCAGGGAAGAGCTGATTTACACTCCATTCTCGGGTTGAGCTCCCTGTGTAGGATGGTGAAATAAATCACTTGCATTATTTATATTGTTTAATTTCTCTCTGCATCTCCTTCATTTGCTTCCTGAAGCCTATGTACAGTTGACTGTGTGTGTCTATCTCTGCAAACTACAGATCTTCACTTCCTATTATAACACTTATCACATTTGAATTTTTCATGGATTGTAATTATGGGTTAAATGTGCCTGCCAGATTATACATTCCATGAGGGCAGGGGCCATGTCCATCTCATTACCTGCTGTGGCCCAGCACCTGCATGGTACCTGGCACACAGTCTTTCCAAGCAGTTCTGTCCTAGACATTGTTGTGGCTTTCTTCTCACCCGCCTTCAGGAAGATCCACCCAACTTCTTTCTCAGTTACTCAGCATTAAGATCTGTAGTTGCTGAGGCACTCAGTTAAGCTTAGGGTGGAGCTAAAACCTGCCTGGGCTGGTGCTTCTCTGATACAGAAACCCCTGAAACTGATGATTATCCAGAAATACTTGATCTCTTTGGGGGCCTGAGGAGCTTTGGACCACCTTAACTCATCACCTCCTTAAGCTCCCCTACCTCTAAATGCTCTTCTCACCGCTCCCACTCCCACCCCCTCCCCCTTGCCCCAAGGCTCCTCCTCAGCCCAACTAACTGAGGCTCTTTCACAATCCTAAAAGCATCATCTTTGTTTTAATTTTTTCTTTTATCTTCAAAAGCATCTAAAAGTAAAAACAACTAAAGAAAAGCCAGAAAGTGAATGAAGCAGAAAAACAATTTCAGCACTCTGATACAGTACCCCAAAACAATTTTAGTTCACTTTGCCTTTTTTTGTGCCATTTTAACGCAGTTGAAACCATGCCGTATATGCCAGTGTGTAGTCTGCAGTTTTAAGGTGACATTATTGCATATTCATATTTTCATGATATTCTTTAGAAGCATAATTTTAATAATGCCATAATATTTTATTGAATGCTGTAATGATATTTTTAAGCCTTCTATTAAGGTTGGACACTTAAATGTTTACCTTTTTTTCTCTAGTATGTAAATATTATGGTACAAATACACAAAAATACTGCAGGGAACCTTTTTATTTTCTGCATCTGACAGACTCGCAGAAATGGAATTACTAAGTAAAAAATACAAACTCTTTAAAATAGATTTTTATTTCAGGTGATACTTAATGCATATTAAGTGTAAAAAACTTAGAAAATACATAAAAGTATTTCATCCAGCATTTACCTCCAAGAGATGGCTAATTTTTTGTATATTTTCTGTCTTTTTGATGTATGTGTATATGTGTGTGTATATATATGTATTATGTATATATTATATATAAATATGTATTATGTATATATTATATATATTATATGTATCTATAATAAAATTTATACTGTATTGATATATTCATACTATATATGTATCATTACTTTACACAATTGAAATACTTTATATGCATGTTGTTAAAACTCTTCAAATATACAGCTTTTAATTTACTGTGTAACGATTTTTAAAACAACACTTTTCTTGTATCATTTAAATTTTTTCTGATTTCTTCTATTTTGTTGTATTTGTATACATACCTTGTCAGCATTTTATGTTATTCCTTAGGATGGATTCCAGTAATGGATTTACCAAGTCAAAAGGTATAAATTTTTAAGGCTCTTGGTGTATATTGTCAAGTTTCTTTCCAGGAAGATTTTGCCAAATTGCATTTCCAACAGTCCATAAGATTATAAAGCAATGGAAAATAGCATGTCCTTTCTGTTTTAATTTCTATCTTATTAACTCTTAGTGAGGTTGAGCTTTTTCCTTATATGTTATTCATGTATATCTTCTTTTGTGAATTGTCTAGATACTTAAAAGGCTAAGAATATTTGGAGGTTATTTTTAAAAAATAATTTTTTATTTTTAATTGACGTTTTATACATATTTAGGGGGTACATAGTGATGTCACAGTACATATAATGTGTAGTGATCGGGTCAGTGTAATTAGCATATCCATCATCTCAAACATTTGTCATTTCTTTGTGCTAGAAACATTCAATATCCTCCTAGGTATTTGAAAGGATATATTATTGTTAACTATAGTTATTCTACAGTGGTATAGAATACTAGAACTTATTACTCGCATCTAGCTGTAATTTTGTGTTTTTTAATAAATCTCTCCCTCTTCCCCTCTTCCCTCTACCATTCTCTGCCTCTAATATCCTCTACTTTTTACTTCTATGAGATCAACATTTTTTAGCTTCAACATGTGGGCAAGAATATGCAGTGTTTAACTTTCTGTTCTTGGCGTATTTCACTTAATATAATGTCCTCCATTTCCATCCATATTGCTACAAATGACAGGATTTTGTTGTTTTTTTATGTCTGAATAGTATTCCATTGTGTATGTATATCACATTTTCTTTGTTCATTCATCTATTATTGGATACCTAGGCTGATTCATATCTTGGCTATTGTGAACAGTGCTGCAGTAAATGGGAGTAAAGATATGTCTTTGGTATACTGATTTTGTTTCCTTTGGATAAATGCCCCAGTGGTGGGATCAGTGGATCATATATTAGTTCTGTTTGTAGTTTTTTGAGGAACCTCCATACTGTTCCCCATAATGGCTCTTCTAGTTTACATTCCCACCAATAGTGTAAGAGTCCTTTTTCTCTGCATCTTCACCAGCATGTTAATTTTTTGTCTTATTTTGATAATCACTATCCTAACTGGGATAAGATGATATCTCATTATGGTTTTGATTTGCATTTCCCTGATGATTAGTGATATTGAACATTTTTTCATATTTTTGTTGTCCATTTATATGTCTTCTTTTGAGAAATATCTGTTCAGATCATTTGCCTTTTTTAAAAAATTTATTTTTAGGAGACGGGATTTCACTGTGTTGCCTAGACTGTAGTGCAGTGGCACAGTCATAGCTCACTGCAGCCTTGAACTCCTGGGCTCAAGTGATCTTCCCACCTCAGCTTCCCAAGTAGCTGAGACTACAGATGCACACCACCATACCCACCTAATTAAAAAAAATTTTTTTGGACAGGGTCTTGCTATATTGCCCAGGCAGGTCTTAAACTCCTGGCCTCAAGCAATCCTCCAGTGTCAGCCTCCTAAGTCTCTGAGATTACAGGCGTGAGTCACCATTTGCCAATATTTAAATCAGGTTGGTTGTTTTTTTCCTGTACCAATGGTTGAATTCTCTGTGTATTCTGGATATTAATGTCTTGACCAATGAATAGTTTGCAAGTATTTTCTCCCATTCTATAGGTTGAATTTTCACTGTGTTGATTGTTTCCTTTGCTGTGCAGAAGCTTGTTAGTTTGACATAATTCCCTTTTTAAAAATTTTTTCTTTTGTTGCCTGTGCTTTTTAGATCTTATTCATAAAATATTTTCCCTGGCCAATATCCTGAAGCATTTCCCCTATGTTTTCTTCTAGTAGTTTTATAGTTGCAGGTCTTGTGTTTAGGTCTTTGATCCATTTTGAGTTGTTTTTTGCATAGAGTAAGAGTTGGGAGTCTAACTTCATTCTTCTGCACATAGATATCCAGTTTTCTGAGCACCATTTATTGACAAGACTGTCCTTTCAAAGCCCAGTGAATGCTGTTGGTGCTTTTTTCAAAAATCAGTTGGCTGTAGATAGGTGGATTAAAGTCTGTGTTCTCTGTTCTTTTCCATTGGTCTGTGTGTCTGTTTTTCTGCCAATACTGTGCTGTTACTGTTTTGGTTACTAAAGCTTTGTAATATACTTTGAAGTCTGAAAATGTGATGCCTCCAGCCTGCTTGCTTGCTTGCTTGCTTCCTTTCCTTTCCTTTCCTTTCCTTTCCTTTCCTTTCCTTTCCTTCCTTCCTTCCTTCCTTCCTTCCTTCCTTCCTTCCTTCCTTCCTTCCTTCCTTCCTTCCTTCCTTCCCTCCTTCCCTCCTTCCTTCCTTCCTTCCTTCCTTCCTTTCTCTCTTTCTCTCTTTTTTTCTTTCTTCTTTCTTTTTTGCTTAATATTGCTTTGGCATTGTGTTTTTTGTGGTTCCATACAAATTTTAAGGCTTTTTTCTATTTCTGTGAAGAATGTCATTGGTATTTTGATAGGGATTACGTTGAGTGTGTAGGTTGCTTTGGGTAGTATGGTCATTTAATAATATTAATTATTCTGATGCATGAGCATGGAATGTCTTTCCATTTATTTTTATCCTCTTTAGTTTCTCTCATTTGTGGTTTTCCTTGTAGAGATCTTTACTACCTTGGTTACATTATTGTATTTAATTATTTTTGTAGCTATTGTAAATGGGATTGCCTTCTTGCTTTGTTTTTCATCTAGTTTGTTGTTCATGTATAAAAATGCTACTGATTTTTCATGTCAATTTTGTATCCTGAAAATTTACTGAATTTGTTGATCAATTCTAAGAGTTTTTTTGGTAGAATGTTTAGGTTTCTCTATATATGTGACCATGTCATCTACAAACAGGGATAATTTGACTTCCTTCTTTCCAGTTTAGCTGTTCTTTTTTTTTTTTCTTGCCTAGTTGCTCTGGCTTATTCAAAGGTTGTTGACACATACATAGATACCTATTTTAAAAGAGTGGCATGTGAGAAAAATACAGGAAATAGAGCCCAATAAGATATGAATATTTGAATTTGCTGATCCATTCTTTCATATAGGACTATAAGATTTAACTCTTAAAACTTCAAAATTTTTCTGTATGTACTTTCCATCTTGTAAAGTTATAATAGACGCGTGTCGTTCTTATTGGAGTCAATGAATTGGGCTCTGTCATTTGTTGAGATATCATCCTTCTGGCTCTGGAGTTCTGTAAGAAAATGACAATATATTTAGGGTGATAAAGCTAATATCTCAAGTCTCAATTGTTTGAGAGCCAGTTATCAGATTACCTTTCACTTCTGTTCCTATCATTTTGTTAATAACTATTGTTCATTTATTTATGTACTTATTGTCTGGTACCCCACTATAATGCGTCCATCAAGAGAGCTTACATCTCTCTCAGTAGTCTGTTTCCTTCATTTCCTCCAAATTTCCATTAACTTTTTAATCTGTTTGCTTATTTGGGTTTCTGTCTTTCATATTAGGGGCTCTCTTCAGATGATAAGGTGATCCTTGGCTGTCTGTTTCATGCTTGAGAATGGGGTACTAAAAAGATGACTGGGAACTCTATACATGCATAAGGCTTATCAACAGTGGTTTGTACTTGTACGGTGATCTGGATGGCTTGTTTAGAAGGGGAAATCCTCTGCCAGTATTTTTGGATTTTTTTCTATTAGTTTAATTAACATCCCCAGAGCAAAACTTTCAATCTTTCAATATCTAATTGCAGAAATAAAGCCTGGCTGCTGGAGTTCAAGGGGCTAGCATAGGAAAGAGACTAGATGACTCCAGTAGATATTATGAAAACTTTCACTAAATCCTCCTTTTTCACTTTAACTTTTTTACTTTCAGCTGCCTGGTATCCACTATCTAGATGCCTTCTGTTTTTCCTTTCCAGGTAATAAACCTCGAGTCTTTTGCCAAGTTGACAAAAGGGATGGTCACACCAGTGTCAAGTCAGTACTGAGTCTGCCTTTTTATTAAACAGGCTTTCAGCCAGTTTTACTATTTTCAGTCCCTCTTTACTCTCACTTCTAGAGATATCATCTGCCACCAAATTCCTAAGCACTTTGGGGTTCTATAAGGCAAATTGAGTTACTTTTTAGCTTTTGTCACAATCAATTAAGGCTTCAGGTTGCTTCAAATTGTTAAATTGGTTACCATTTATCTTTTTACTTTTTAACTTTCATGATTTTGTTGCTGCTATTATTTTCTGTCATATTTTTGTCTTGATGGGTTTGTATATTTTAAAAAAATACCTCTTCCATGTCATACTCATTAGGATGGCTACTATTACCAAACAAAACACACACACACACACACACACACACACACACACAAAACAGAAAGTAAGTGTTGGTGAAGATGTGGAGAAATTGGAAACCTTGTGCAGTGTTGGTGGGAATGTAAAATGGTGTGGCTGCTGTAAAACATGGTGGTAGTTCCTCAAAAAGTTACAAACAATATTACCATATGATCCAGCATTTCATTTCTGGCCATATACCCAAAAGAATGGAAAGCAAGGACTCAAATACATGTTTGTTCACCCACGTTAATAAAAGCATCATTCACAATAGCTAAAATGTGGAAGCAAACCAAGTGTTCATTAGTGGCAGAACTGATAAAATGTGATATATACACATAACAGAATATGATTCAGCATTAAAAAGGGAGGGAATTATGACACATACTATAGCATGGATGAATCTTGAAGATACTATGTTAAATGAAATAAGGCAGTCACAAAAGGACCAATACTGTATGATCCTTCTTATATGGGATACATAGAGTAGTCAGATTCATAGAGATAGAAAGTAGAATGATAGTTACCAGGGATTTGGGGGAAGGGGGAAAGGAGAAGTTAGTGTTTAATGGATATAGAGTTTCAGTTTTGCAAGATGAAAAATGTTCTAGAAATGGGTGGTTGTAATGATTTCATGATGTGTGAATGTACTTAATACAACTGAATTGTATGCATAAAAACAGTTAAGATAGTAAATGTTATCTTACATATATTTTACCACAATTAAAAAATTTTTAAAAACAATGAAAAATAATTCCACTTTACATTTATTTTATTCTCTTCTTGGGGGAGATAGAGACTAATTAATGTATTCAATGTGTTGCTTAAAATTAAATCTATTATTTCTTAGTTTACAGCTAAGATGAGCCTTTTTAGGGCTAAATCACTTGCCCTGGTCACAGATCTAGTCATTGGCAGCCTAGGGTTTGATTCAGTTCTGGGAGGAAGGCAGGGTTTGTATCTGCTGTGATACATAGATCAGTTCGATTCATTCTTTCATTAGCCAGCATTAGAACACCTTTTTCATTCCAGCACTCTTGAAGGTAGCAGTAAGCAAGACAGTAAGGTTACATCACATTACCATGTGAGATGGAGAAACCAGACAGTAAGCAAGTATATACATAAACAAGACAAATGCAAATGTGGCTAATTGTTATGATGGAAATAAAGTGCTGGCTGAAATGTGGGTAGGGAAGGCTTCTCTAAGGAGGAGACTTCAGAGTTGTGACATCAATGTGGAGATGGCCTAATCAGTGTGAACATGTGGGCAGGAGTGTTCCTGGCAGAAGCAACAGCAGGAGCAGAGGCCCAGGGCTGGGAATAAGGTTGGCATGTTTGAGAAGATAGAAAAGACCAGTTTAGCAGAATGTACTGAGGAAGGGGAAGGACAAGTGATGGGGTAAGAGGTGTAAAAAATGCAGAACCTTGTGAGCCTTGGAGTAAAGCAGCCAAAGCTTTCCTAGGTATACAGAAAGCCACTAGAGGGGTTTCAAAGGGAAATGATGATTTTACTTTTTAACATTCTGTTGGCTTTCACTTTGTATCTACTGTATAGCAGATGGTAGGTTGTAGATACCAGAAATGCAATATGTAATACTGTTGCCCACAAGGAAATTATGGTCTGGTGAGGAAGAAAGAGCAGAGAGTGCCAGAAAAATATAGCAGCATATTCCACAGTGTACACTTTGGGGTACTAGAGGTGATTTTTAGGAAACAAAAATTCTTTATAGTAGAACAATTTATATTCCTTTGGGTATATACCTACTAATGGGATTGCTGGGTAAAATGGTTCTTTGAGAAAGAAGTTCTCTAAGTTCTTTGAGAAATCACCAAAGTGCTTTCCACAATGGCTGAATGAATTTACATTCACACCACTAGTGTATAGGCATTCCCTTTTCTCCACAACCTCACCAGTATCTGTTATCTTCTGACTTTTTAATGATAGCCATTCTGACTGATGTGAGATGGTATCTCATTGTGATTTTGATTTTGATTTCTCTAATGATTAACACTTTTTCATATGTTTGTTGGTTGTATGTCTTCTTTTGAAAAGTGTTCATGTTATTTCCCCATTTTTTAATGGGGTTATTTTTCGCTTGTTAATTTGCTTAAATTCCTTAAATATTCTGGGTATTAATCCTTTGTTGGATGCATAGTTTGCAAATATTTTCTCCTATTCTGTAGGTTGACTGTTTACTCTATTGATAGTTTCTTTTGCTGTGTGGAAGCTTTTTAGTTTAATTAGGCCCCATTTGTCAATTTTTGCTTTTGTTGCAATTGCTTTTGACATCTTCATCGTGAAATCTTAGCCAGAGCCTATGTCTAGAATGGTATTTCCTAGGTTTTCTTCTAGGGTTTTTATAGTTTTAGGTTTTATATCTAAGTCTTTAATCTATCTTGAATTGATTTTTATATATGGAGTATTGATTTTATATATGATTTTTATATATGGTATACAATTAGGTATATAATACCTAATTGTATTTCCTAGGTTTTCTTCTAGGGTTTTTATAGTTTTAGGTTTTACATCTAAGTCTTTAATCTATCTTGAATTGATTTTTATATGTGGTATAAGGAAGGGGTCCAGTTTCAATCTTCTGCATATGGCTAGTTATCCCAGCACCATTTATTGAATTGGGGGGAGGGGTCTTTCCTTATTGCTTGTTTGTGTCAACTTTGTTGAAGATCAGATTGTTGTAGGTGTGTGGCTTTATTTCTGTGCTCTCTATTCTTTTCCATGGATCTATGTGTCTGTTATTGTACTAGTGTCATACTGTTTTAGTTACTGTAGCCTTGGAATATAGTTTGAAGTCAGGTAATGTGGTGCCTCCAGCTTTGTTCTTTGTGCTTAGGATTGCTTTGTCTATTCGGGCTCTTTTTTGGTTCCATATGAATTTTAGAATAGTTTTTTCTAGTTCTGTGAAAAATGTCATTGGCAGTTTGATGGGAATAGCATTGAATCTGTAAATTACTTTGGGCAGTATGGCCATTTTAATAATATTGATTCCTCCTTTCCATGAGCATGGAATGTTTTTCCATTTATTTGTGTCATCTCTGATTTCTTTCAGCAGTGTTTTGTAATTCTCGTTGTAGAGATCTTTCACCTCTCTGGTTAGCTGTATTCCTAGATATTTTTATTTTTTGTGTCACTATTCAAAATAGCAAAGACATGAAATCAACCTAGATGCCCATCAACAGTGGACCGGATAAAGAAAATATGGCACATGTATACCCTGGAATACTACACAGCCATTAAAAAGAATAAGATTTTGTCCTCTGCAGCAACATGAATGGAGCTGGAGGCCATTATCCTAAGCAAACTAATGCAGGAACAGAAAACCACATACTGCATATTCTCACTGGTAAGTGGGAGCTAAACACCAAGTACATATGAACACAAAGGAGAGAACAGTAGACACTGGGGCCTACTTAAGGGTAGAGGTTGGGAAGAGGGTGAGGATCGAAAAACTACCTGTAGAGTGCTATGCTTATCAGCTGGGTGATGAAATAATCTGCACACCAAACTAATGTGACACGCAGTTTACCTGTGTAACAAGCCTGCACATGTACCCCTGAGCCTAAAATAAAAGTTAAAAAAAAATAAAATAGATGAACAAATAAATAAATAAAATGTGGTTACTAGATTGATTAAAAAAATGTCTACAATCAAATCAGGTTGGGGATTCATATGTGATATTTCCTTAGAGATTCTCAGTGCACACCAGCATATTAAAGTCCCAATTGTTACATCACAGAAACCTGTGTACTTTGTTCAACTTTACATTTCCTAAATTTATTTGCACAAATAGCTTCTTTCAAATAATACCTTTTAACATCTTTTTAAACTCCTCTGGGAAACACTGATTTAAGGCAACATGACAATTATATGTTAGGTGTTATGGCAATAATGAGGGGGGCCTAACTACCACAACTCTGGGTGTGAAACAGGTAAGCATTCAGGATTGCCTTCCTGGAGTAGGTGACCCCTGAATTGCTTCCAGAAGGAGTAGAGAGGTTAGCCTTGTGAAGAATAGAGAAGGGTATTTCATAGAGAAAGAACTGCCAAAACACAGATATGTAGACCCAAACATCCCACATCATCATCCTTGGAAAATAGATTTACAAATTTCCAGCAGGAAGAGGAAAAAAAGTGCTTGAAGTGTGCTGGTTTCTCACCTTAGTGGAAATAATTGCTTAAAAAAACAGCCAGAGGCTGGACACGGTGGCTCATGCCTATAATCCCAGCACTTTGCGAGGCCGAGGCAGCAGATCAGCTGAGGTCAGGAGTTTGAGACCAGCCTGGCCAACATGGCAAAACCCCATCTCTACTAAAAAATACAAAAATTAGCCAGGCGTGGTGGCAGGCACCTGTAATCCTAGCTACTCAGGAGGCTGAGGCAGGAGAATAGTTTGAAGCCAGGAGGCAGAGGTTGCAGTAAGCCGAGATCATGCCACTACACTCCAGCCTGGGCGACAGAGCCAGACTCCGTCTCAAACAAACAAAGAAACAAAAAAAACCAGAGTAGAATGCAATTCTCCTCATCTGGATTTCAGCAAGAATTGCCCATTTCTGTTCAGCCGTAGGCCTCCATCCTCTGTTGCCAGTCTGTTCTTCTGACTCTCACCTGTCTCCTTTCTGCACACAGAAGGCCAGAGAGAATGAACAATTCTTCCCCATGTCAGTTGGCTCACCCTTCCTGGAAGTGTGGATTTCCTGTTAGTACCTGCAACTCTGTCGGCGCTGCTATTTCTGTCTTCGCGTTGTTTCAGAATACTCTCACACTGCTGCCCCATTTTTCCGTACGCAGTCTTCCAGGCCCTTTTTTGCACCTGATTTTTGCCAGGCAGCATAATTAGAGGATGTTACATTTCCCTGAAAGAGCATATTCTCATGGACAACAGGACACAAGGGAGTAAGAAAGCTTCAAAGATGCTGGAGGGTCTCCCTCCTGTACCCCAACCTGTGCCACTTGGTATAACAGGATTCTACATGAGTTAGCTTTTCTTTATTGTTATTAGGAGATTAATAAAAATTGACCTCATTTATTTAGTGCTTACTATGTACCAGACACTGTACCAAGAATTTATTATCATTCAACTTTCACAACCCTAAAATATGTGTATTTTACAAATGAGGAGAAGTAGGCTGGCGAGTAGCTTGCCCAAAGTCATTCAACTCAGAAGAGAGGCCATCGTTTAATCTTAGATTGTACTTGTAAAATTCACACATCCAATACATAATGCCTTTAAATGTTCTCATTGTTAACATTTATTTTCTTTGGATTCTGTGCCTATTTCTGCTTATGTCTCCGGATTACCTGGGAGCTTTTAAAAATAAGAATCCTAGGGTTCCACTTTATAACATTGACCAGAAGTCAAGAATGGGGCCCAGGAATTGCTATTTTCAGAAGCTCCCTAGGTGACTCTAATGCAGGGCTCTTCATACCTTGGTGTGCGTCAAAATCACCTGGTGAGGGAGGATGGCTGGGCTCCACACCACAGTTTCTGCTTCAGTAGGTCTAGGGTGGGGACTGAGAATGCACACTTCTAACAAGTTCCCAAATGCTGTTCATGCTGCCATCCTAGCACTTGAGCATTTTTCCCAATATGTGTATGATCCCCCTCCCCCACCAACTGGGTGACGTAGATAGAACTTTAAGTGTCATTAAGTTATGTCATGTTTTGAATCTTTCTCTGCTCGATTTCCACGTCAACATGAGTGAGGGCTTCAGGGATTTTACTCCATCATTTTGGCTAAATGCCAACTTGGCAAATTCCACTCCTCCCCCGGAGGGACTGCAAATGCCAGTGTCCTCCTTCATTCAGGAGTGAGGTCATTGTCTGTGTGGTTAAAAGTGGACACTTTCTGCTGCTTCTGCTTTTGCACTGTAGTAGAAGTTTCAAGGAGCTCTATTTTACAGTTCCAAATTACCATCCCTCCCCTCTTTAATGCTTCCAAGATGGATAGTCTCTCACCATAGGTTAATGTTTAGATTTTGATCTCTATTTCTCAGCCCCCCAAATCTGGATGATCCTCTGGTGCCAGAGCTGTTGCATGTATCACCCCTGGACACTTTCTTCTCTGCTTGAACCAGAGAATAATTATATATAGTAGTTCCCCCTTGTCCATGGAAAATACCTTCCAAGACCCCCAGTGGATGCCTAAAAACATGGGTAGTACTGAACCCTATGTATACTATGTTTGTTTTTTTTTTTTTTTTGATCTGGTAACTGAGAGGATTACTAAGCGGACGACAGGGAGGTAGTGCCTACAGCATGGATTTGCTGGACAAAGGGATGATTCACATCCCAGGTGGGACCAAGCTAGATAACGTGAGAATTCATCACACTATTCAGAATGGTGTGCAATTTAAAACTTATGAATTGTTTATTTCTGGAATTTTCCATTTAATATTTTTGTACTAGAGTTGACCATGAGAAATTGAAACCATGGAAAGCGAAACTGCAGATAAGGGGAGACTGCTGTGCTAGAGTGCTATAGAGGATTTCATTTGGAAAAAAAAAGTTTTGGTCCTGGAAAAAAAGTTTAAGAACATAGTCGTATTCCATTTCTTCATATGTTTGAGATATTTCTGGCTTTGGTGAAACATAGGCTAGGAAAAGAACCTAACATCTTATTAGTGTAACTGAACAACAGTAACAGCAGACTTAGCCTTTCTTCCTTATGTGCAACATTACCTGTGACCTGACTCTTGAAACATAGCTGCTATTAAAGTACAAGTGAGTCATGCATAGCAGCTTCTCCTTGCCCAGTTAATTTCTCTGTAAAATCTTTACTCTCTTTTATTCATGTATATATATGTATGTGTGTGTGTGTAAATATATACATATATATGTTTGTATTTCCCTTTAAGGATTTCAAACACAAAGACCCTAGTCATTTGATTGTCTCTGTACTGTCGAATTTTGCCTACAACCCTGACTGTAGAGACACATTGTTACCTGTTTTCCATATTCTGTCTAGTAAATGCTTGGTTGTCAGGACAACGGCATAGAAGGTGGAAGCTCATTGATAACCACGTGAATTCTTTAAACAAATATGATCAGAGCAAATTCCAGGGTATGCTTGAAAGTAGATTTAAGGAAGAGCAAAGGTTTCAGACATATCCTTCCTTTTATAAACTTGATATTCATCTTTAAGGATCAGCAACAGTTGGAGTTACTCATAATTTTATTTAAAATCCTGAATAAAGATATCACCTTAGTTTTATGGTACGTTTGTCATTCCAGCTTGTTAGGCATGAGTGTGTTGTTACTGACAGAGCCCCTGGAGGACAGGCAGACACTGTGGTTCTCCATGGTCTCTCAGTACCAGGCACAGAGCAAGCACCCAATACATATTATAGGAATAAATGATCTCAAATCTTCACAGTGCCTCTTATAGATGGCTTTTATGATATATATCTGCAGAGAAACTGAATTCAGGGATTTTAAGTGCCTTTTTTGCAAGGCCCTTAAAGTTTGGGAAAGTAGGTGCATGGAATTAGAACTCAGATTATCCTGACTTCTAAGATCACACTCTTCATTGTAGCACACTGCCTTCTTGCCAAAAAAAAAAAAAAAAAAAAAAAGGAAGAAACATGTAAAAAGACAGACCATTTCTAAGATGAAATGTGTGCTTTTCAAAACAATAGCAGAAAACCTTCTTCAAAGGTAAAATAGTTGGAAATAGAAGAAGAAATAATATGTAATTTAGCGTTCGTTGAGGATAAGCAATTAATCCTGCCCTCCAGGGGTGAATTTATGTCTAGCCTATTTGCACATGAAAGTACAAGTTGGGCTTCATTTCTATGCAAGTAAGACATCTGGTTGGGAAGTGAAAAATTTTGTCAGTTACCTGAATCATGTTTGGTCTACATGATAGAAAAGCCCCTGATGTCTTCAGATCACCAGAAGACATTTGGCATTGTATAGTTAACACCAGATCCACTGACTGAGTGGTTCACCTGAGAGTTGCTGCTTGACATCCTGTAGATTCACCCATTGTTAGGAGGCTGTTACCATTTTGTAAGTCAGCAGTTTGCAAACAGTAGTCCAGACGAGAAACCAACGCTGGCCCTTGACAAAGTGTTCACTGGTGTGTGATGCAATAAATACATGAGGTCATAAAAGGAAGTGTATTTACCTTAAAAAAGAACATCCTTTATTTTGAGATCCTCTGCTTCCTATGTTTTTAGTGATACAATTTTGTGTCAAATAAATCCTCATTGTAAGATTTGGTTTTAATTAGTAAATGAGACAGGATAAAAAATTGAGAAACCTATATAAATCCCTAGTTTTCTTTATGTGATCTTTGTATTTGATTGTGAAAAAAAAAAGCAAAATTGTAGAAACCACTGCTTTAAACCTTGTAATATTTTTAGCACAATGACACCTAAAGTATTTTCATGTATTTCCCAAGTTTTCCTTTTCCTAGAAGTGGGGTAACTCTCCATGGTAGAACTGTTTGCATGGGTCTTGAAAGCATTGGACATCTTAACAGTCAAGTATTTTGCTGACAAAATAATGAATTTTCCTTTTGAAACAAGCGTTTTGTTCTTAAAATAACTCTAAAGAGAACACCTTCTGCACTTTTAAAGCATTTCCCTCTGAAGGCATGCCGTGGAGACATGACCATAGGGAGAAACTTTTTGTGCTAGAAAACTGAATTCCACCACTGTGAATTTTTTAACAGCTTTCACAGGTTCTGCAGTTTGCTCTCATGACCCCAAAAGCATATATCTCCACATGCTGTAACATCAAGGATCTCTCCTCAAGCTTTGTAAGCTCGGCCAGAATGAGCTGAGTACCCTCTGTGTGTCAGGCGATGTCCAATACACTGGGAATAGGGAGTCATAATAACCATAATTTTATCTGACTTTTGTCTAGCATTTGTCATGTGGCAGACAACATGCTAAAACACTTATTTGCATTATCTTGCTTGATTCTTATAACCACTCTGGGAGAAAAATAACATTATTATAGCCTTTTTACAGGTGAGGAAACCGTTGCAGGGAAGTTAAATCACTTGCCCAAGGTCACAAGCCCTGTGAGTGATAAAGCCACCACCATCCAAGCCTGTCCACCCCCTAACCTGAACTCCCAAGTGCTATGCTAAACCACCTGCCTCTTATGGATATATTATCTACAAAAAGAGCTCTGCCCTCAAGGCGATTATAATCTAAATTAGAAGAGGGAAGCACAAGGGAAAAAGCCATTATGTAGAGCAGAATGATGTAATTCCAAAAAACATGCTGTTGGATTGTAGAGGAAAGAGTGATTAATTATGATCTACCCAGGGAAGGCTTTTTGCATGTGGCCTTAGGCTAGGTGAGAACAAAATAGGGCACCAGCAATTATCTAGAGAATTGGGTCACTGTGGGTGCCAAAGTGGATGATGATTTCAAGCTAAAAAGACTATGCTCTGAATAGTTCAGAATTGGCCGCCCACACTCCTGGAATCTGTTGAATTTTTGCCAACTCCCTTGTTCTCTTTGTGACTTATTGCCCTGGCTTAGATGAGCTTCCTACTCCAGGTGGGGGAAGATGCAGGATGGTGCTGCCATAGCAGGGAGTGCTGACAACGTGGAAGAAGCCTTCCTTGAGTCAGGAGCTCTGGATTCAATCTAGACTCTGCTCCCACAACTGGTTGACTCCAGGGAAGCCACCTCCTTCTCTGGGTTCAGTTTTCTCTACTGTAAAATGTATACACTGAAGTTGATGGTCTGTATGGGCCATTCAAAATCCCGTGTCTCTGTTTTTGGAACAGAGAAGGAATCAGAGGAGAGGACTGGAAGAAGCTAAAAGATTCAGCATGTTCGGATTTCATGACTCTTGTGGTTTTGTTCCTAGACAGGACCTACCAGGGGAGCCTCCTGCAAATGAGGTGGTCTTCCTTTTCTACTCATCACATTCTATGCCTGCCCTCTCTAACCTACATGGTATAGTAGGAAGACGCCATACCATGGAGTCAGAGAATCTTGGGCTAAAATCCTGACCATGTCCCATTACATAGTGACTTTGAACAAATTATGTAATCTTTCTGTGCTTGTATTTCTACAACTGTAGAATAATAGGTTGCAATATCATAGACTCTTCATGTAGAGAATCTAATTCTATTACTATAAAATCTAATTCTAATACCATTGGTTTGGTGTTAGCAATGAAGGTGATAGCAACTGAAAAGTAAGAAGAGCAGTGACTAAAAGCTCATAGGTTTTGATAAATGGGCACTATTACTATTATAATATTTATTGTGTTAAAATACAAATTATGTACAGCACTCCTCTGAACACTGACCTACAATAGTTACCAGTTGCTTGTTGGACTTCTTGAACCAGACTTGACCAGGCAAAGAGAATTTGAGAACCTCTATTTCACTAAAAAGGTGGTATCTACAATATCTTGCCACTGTAGCATCTGCTATGTGTAATGAGATGCTTGGGCCTGCTGGTGGTCACCTATTTTCTAGGTATACGCATTGGCTTTTGTGGTGTCGCCATATATATATATATATATATATATAAAATATGTATTATATATATAATATATATACATGATATAGATATAATTAAATGTTATATTCAATTAAAATAAATATAATTTTAAATTAAATATAAGGAACATGAGAGTTAGCAGGAATCATGGGTGAAAAAAATATGTATAATAACACCACAAATGCATATATATAGGTTTTTGCCCATGATTCCTGGTTAACTCCCATAGCCCTTATTATAACATTGGGGCACTTGAGGCCTCAGGCAACAGTCTCTCTCAGTGACCCCCTCTGGTCCTTCTTCACCTGCCCAAGGTAGGATGCTAATTTGATTATGGATCAGAAGACCCTCATTCCAGAGAGGGTCCTGCCCCATAGCCTAGTGGAAAGAATGCTACACAGAGAGGCCAAAAAAAGTCTGAGCAGATAGTCCTTGCTGGATTTAGATCATATGCTTTTTGTCCAATCATATTTTTACATGGTTGTCAATCATGCCTGTGTAAAAAAGCCTCCATAAAAACCCAAGAGTACAGGGTTTGGAGAGCTTTTTGATTGCTGAATACATGGATGTTCCTGGAGGGTGGAGTGCCCAGGGAAGGCATGGAAGCTCTGCGCCCCTTCCCCCTTACCTTGCCATGTGCATCTGTTCATCTGTATCCTTTGTAATAGTATTTATAATAAACCAATAAACGTGTTTCCCTGAGTTATGTGAGCTGCTCTAGCAAATTAATCAAACCCAAAGACAGGGTTGTGAGAACCCCAACTTGAAGCCAGTAGTTCAGAAGTTGTGGAAGTTGGACTTGCCACTGGTGTCTGGTGCGTGGGGTTGGGGGCATTCTTGGGGACTGAGCCTTCAATCTGTGAGATCTGATGCAATCTCCAAGTAGATAATGTCAGAATTGAACTAAATGACATCCAGCTGGCGTCTGCTACAGAATTAAGTGCTTGCTTGGTGGTTGGGAGAAACTCCTACACATTTAGTAACAGAAGTCACCTTCTATGTGGATGATTGCTGTGGTGTAAGACCAGAGGAAAAACATGATTTCAGAGTTTTTCCCTCAACAGCCTTGAGATACTCCATTTTAATAAGATAGAGAGATGAAAGTGTATTACTGGTGGGATTATGTTAGAAAACACATTTCTTGTCCCAGTAGCATTCAAGATCAAGAGTTAAACTTAATACAGTCTCTCCTCTTTACTCTCCCAACTGATATTCAGCTTCCTGTGTGAGTGTATGTTTAATGTTTTTGTCTAAATTAATTGATCTTTGTCTTATGATCTCTCGTCTTAAAAAAACTAAGTTCAGCTAAATGAACATTGCTGAGAACTTATGTTCTAGACACTGCTGACGTTGTGCTGAGGGGAAATGAATATAGAGGTAAATAAAATAATTTGAACTATTCTCTGTCTAGTGGGAAAGAGAGATCGAGGTATAAATAGGGGAAAAAATAAAACACAACGTAAGGGTCATAATTTTTAAGTTGGATTAAAAATATGTGTGTGTTTCTTTATTAAACACCTCTTATAGGCCAGACTATCGGGCCAGGGATATAACATTATATAAAACTCAGTCCAAATTGCATAGGTGTCTACAAGATGTAATAACTACAAGATGGCATAAGAAGAGGTATTGGATGGGAATAGTGTCGACTAGAAAGTAAGCTACTTGAGCGTAGGGGCCTTAACTATCTTGTTCCTTAATGCATTTTTAGCATTAGAACAGTGCTTGGCTCGTATCAGGTACTCATTAAACATTTCTGTAGTAAGTGATGAGGCTATCATAAAGTTTTGTTTCCCCACCCCTAAACCAGATTGTAGGTTCAGTCTGAAAGGACTCCAGGACCCTCTCTGCTGGTAAGACATGGTGCCACTTTGTACTCTCCCAGCCAATCTGATTGGCCTCTTGACTTTGGCAAAACTGAGCTGGGGGCTGGCCCCCAGTGCCAAGCACAGAGGAAGCAGGGTCACATGCCACCCATGCCCAAAGCTCTTTCTGACATTTCCATGGGCCTGGAACCAACTCTCCTCCTGGGTTTCATCTCATTATATGTGGGAAGACAAAAGAACACTGAACCTTCCAGTTAATTCAACACCCCGCCCCCACTTACCCCTTCCTGGAGAGGATAACAGTTCTGTTGACCATTATAATGCATTTTCTGTCTCCCAGCAGTCCACATAGTCATTAATTTCTGCTGCTGACATCAGGAAAGAGGATTATGTGTGTGTCTGAAACTGTTCCCAAAGTGCTCATTAGTCATAGATAATTGAAAAACTGGTAGGGGAAGATTTGGTGTAATAGGAGCCCCCGCCTGTGAAGAGGGACTGCAACCACCAGATAATTGTAGATTCCAGCTTTTGACCACTCAGACTGAATCTGCCCATCCAAATGGGAATTCAGCAGACTTGAGCCTAAGAGCTCTCAGAGTGATAGTGTTTTTACATACCCAGGTGAGGGTGTGTACACCGAGACAGAGACAGCCAAATCAAGAGAATAGGTGAACTGCCCTTGGGTCTCTTTCCTGCCTTCAGACTGTGGAGCAGTGTTTGGAAAAAGTGTCCAGTATTCTCCTTTATTTTGTTTTTATTTCAACGTAAGATTGTTTTGATCACAAAAGACATACAAGGTCATGGGATATAAGAAACACAAACATTAGAGAAGAGTACCCTACACTGGATCCCAACCCATGCTGTGACAAAATTCTAGGGTTTTTCTGGAAGTTTATGTGCTTACATTTTTATATCCTTTTCTTTAAAAAAAAAAATCACATGATCATACTAAGAATACTATTCTGCATCTTGCCATTTTTTCTGAATTTATCTTGGAGTTCCAAATCTATACCTTAATTCAAGTTCATTCATTTTAATGGCAAGGTGGGATTCTGACCAGATTTAAGGGGGAAAAACATCTTTTAAAATATTATACAAGAGGCTGGGCATGGTGGCTTATGCCTGTAATCCCAGCATTTTGGGAGGCCAAGGTGGGTGGATCACTTGAGGTCAGGAGTTCGAGACCAGTCTGGCCAACATGGCGAAACCCTGTCTCTCCTAAAAATACAAAAATTAGCCAGCCGTGCTGGCGTGTGCCCGTAGTCCCAGCAACTTGAGAAGCCGAGGCATGAGAATCGCTTGAACCTGGGAGGCAGAGGTTGTAGTGAGCTGAGATTGTGCCACTGCACTCCATCCTGGGCAACAGAGCGAGACTCTGTCTCAAAAAAAAAATTACACAAGAAATGTAGACCAATTAGAAATTAGAGAAAAAAGAAAAAAAGGAAAGAAAAAAGAAATCACTCATAATTCCTCCACCCAGAGAAAACCTATTTTCTGTATTTTTTTCCCCTAGGAATGTATTTTTACAAATAGTTCATCTACTTTCATTGTTGTTGTTCTTACAGCTGTTAAAAGAAAACCTTTAGGCAAATTAAATTTAACAGTTTAACTGTGCAAAGAATGATTCATGAATTGGGCAGGTCCCCAACCAGAATAGGTTCAGAGAGACTTTTGCTCAGCCACATGGTTGAAGAGAAATTACGGACAGAAAAAGGGAAGTGAGGTACAGAAAAATGGAAGTAAAGTACAGAAACAGCTGGATTGGGTACAGCTCTGCATCGGCCTTATTTGAACAGAGTTTGAACAGTTGGCCGCCTGTGGGTGGTTGAAGTATGTCTTCTGTGATTGGCTGAGACTCAGCTTCTAGTTACAAGAGTAGGTTACAGTGTGTTTACAAATCCAGTTAAGTTACAGTCACTGTGTATGAAGAAACCTTTAGGCTGAAGTTACAAACGGACACCTTTAAGTTAAACTTAATTTAACAAAAGGAAGTCATATACTGCATGTTTTGCAGCCTCTATTTTTCACTTGGTTTGACTGTTTTAAATATAAAAATTATTCCCCAAGCTTTTCTTTACACTGTGTGTTTATCTTCTTTTTTATTTATTTATTTTTTTGAGACGGAGTCTCATTCTTGTTGCCCAGGATGGAGTGCAGTGGCGCAATCTCGGCTTACTGCAACCTCTGCCTTCCTGGGTTCAAGCGATTCTCCTGCTTCAGCCTCCCAAGCAGCTGGGATTACAGGCAACTGCAACCATGCTTGGCTAATTTTTTTTTTTTTTTTTTTTTTTGTATTTTTAGTAGAGACGGGGTTTCATCATGTTGGCCAGGCTGGTCTCAAACTCCTGACTTTGTGATCTGCCTGCCTCGGCCTCCCAAAGTGCTGGGGATTACAGGCATGAGCAACCACGCCCGGCCACATTTATCTTCTTAAAAACCCAACCTGAGCACTTACAGTCGTGCCCCTCTGGGCAATTCCTTTTTGCCTGGCCACGCCTGAAGCCCTCCGCTGCCTCTTGTCCCGTCTGTTCCAGTTCTCTGTTCCTCCTTGTTCCCCTTTTTGCGACATACTAAATGCCTCAAACACACCATGCCCCTCAGGGCTCCCTACAGGAAACTCACTTTTTGCTCTGCTGTCATCCCTTTCCCCGGAGCATGCCAGCACTGAAACCACCAATCTCCAACTTGCCTTTCCACACAGGCTTGAAAGTCATCTTCACCTTGAAGACTGTATTCACTCTACTAGCCACCCTAACTGGACCCTCCACAGTTCTCTGGGAACACCATGTACACATTTCACCTTTCTAGCATTTTCTACATGGCCCTAAGAGTCTTAGTTTTTCATCATCTTTGTCCCAAACCACAATATGAGACCTCAGCACCTAGATCTTAGCACATGGTAGATGGAAATCTATGCAGGCAATCATTAGTTCTATTGTTTCTGAAATGTTTGTTAAAATGCATGAATGAATGCTTGAATGAAGCCTAGAAAGAACTGCAAATGCTCAGGCAGTGAAGTCTTGATTTCTGGGAAAAGCAATGCTGTGAATAATTTAATTTTATGGTGAAAGAAAAGCCAAACAAGGATTATATTGGGAAAAGTTGTCAGGAGGCACTAATGTTTGCCTCTGACAGCTCTAGTGCCCTCAGTGTACCTCTGGCTGATAAACTTAGAGTGTGATTTTGAAGGGGTGATTTCTCAGGGATTCTCACCTATTTCTATCATCCTCTCTCATGCCAAGCTGTTTCATTTTGGTCTCTAAATAAACAAAGCTCCTTCCTGCTTGGAGTCCAGATAGCCTATTCCTGAAGGCTGTGGTTCCAAATGAAAGATGGGATATTTGTCCTTGTATATATTTATTTTCATCCCTAACCACTGGATTGAGGAGAAGGCTGGTTCACTGCTGTAGGTTGGGTTTTCCAGAAGCAAAGGCTGAGACAGATTTGGGGGGATAAGGTGTTTATTAGGGATGGTTGGCTGTGAAAGAAGGAAGAGAGAGAAGGACTGGGTAGAGGGAAAAGAGCTGAACTGAGGTGCATTCCTGCAGCACCTTGGTGAACTCAGCAGAGTCTCTGGAGTGAGTGGTGTCTATCAGAGCCCTTCTGCCTCTGCTTTGCAAAGTCACCAGGTACTGGCTGTCCTGGGAGGTGCATCACCTTGGGAAGGCAGCTCTCTGCAACTGAGGCAGGCCCTGGAACATCTGGCAGCTGTCTGCTGACTTTACTCCATCCTTAAGGGGGAGTTTGAGCCATGGTATCTCAGTCTCTACCATGCTTCCTATATCCACGCAACCACTGTGACCTGTTATTTCTTGTTCCATGGAATCCCTTCTGTCTGCCTCTGTTTCTACATCTCCGTTACCAATATCTCAGTGAAGATCCTTATATTCTCTCTCTTTCTTTGATTACTGAAATAGATTCACACTATTTTCCCTAACCCCAGTCTATCCTCTGCTATAATACTGCCAGAGAGTGCTTAAAAAAGCACAAGTTTAATCGCTTTCCTCCTGGCTTAATGCTCCTTTAGTGGTTTACAGTGGGCTTCATGATTAAGTTCAAACACTTAAGTATGGATTACAAGGCCCTGCATCCACTGCCCCATCTGCCTCCCCAGCTTCCTCTGTCCTTCAACACCCACCCCCTACCAGTTCACACCCCAGCCTATGTTCCAATTTACCTAGCCCTTTTGATAGTTCCCTTAGGGGCCCCTTCTCCCTTTTTTCTGTCCTTGCTCAAGACGCATCCTCTGCTGATGAAGCTCCCTGTGGTCCTATAGCCTATAATTAGACCCAGATCTCCTGTCTGCATGCCCAGGACTCTCTCTGCCTCGCAGTGGTCTGCAGCCTCATGTTCTGAGCCTAGAGGACATAGAATCAAATTAAGCTCCTTTACCAGCTAAGGTTTCTTCCTAAATTACTATAGAGAAAACTTGGAAGAGTGCCCCACCCTGCTAATCCTGTCTAGAACCTTTTTTATAAAAATTACACCTTTTATGTTTGTGGAGATTGGGGGTGAAGGTGGAACAGAATTTCCATTTTGACCTTCCTA
The DNA here is from genome assembly GCF_000001405.40 of Homo sapiens. Classification (NCBI taxonomy): domain Eukaryota; kingdom Metazoa; phylum Chordata; class Mammalia; order Primates; family Hominidae; genus Homo; species Homo sapiens. Next base: position 59,509,965 of record NC_000001.11, read on the forward strand.
TGAAAACCATTTTTAAAAAATCTCAATTTAGTAGGCAAGATTTCTAAACGGTGCTCCTTTTTCTTTTTCTTTTTTCTTTTTTTTTTTTTTTAACATACATAATGCTTGTTCTAAAAATACTTCTCTTGATCCTTTCATCCATTCAGAACCCATTTTTAAACAACTTTTACTCCAAAAGGTAATGTAATGAATAAGAGCAGAGGTGTGGATATCAGTCAGAGTAGAACCCATGGCCTGTCTTCAGCTCTTAGGCTGTCTCTAGGGTGTTTATTTTTCTTCTGTAAACCACAATTTTCCCATCTGTCTGTAAAATGGGGGTAGTATGGGTCCTATTGTACCCTTCACAGAGGGTTAATATGAAAATGAAATGAGAAAATGCATGCTATGTCCTTAGTGCAGTCCCTAGCATGAAAGTGCTCAGCAAACTGGAGTGCAGTCTCTCCTGTGTTAGATACTAGCCATAGTGACATAATTAAGATATTGTCCAGAACCGTATTATACAAAGCCAAGGACACTGCTCTCTTCCAGGTTTCTGCTACTTTGGCATTTGAAACAGAATAAGATTTTCCTGTTCTCTGCCCCATCCTTTGAGCATCTTATACTTATCCTCCAGACCATCAGTGTCCAATAGAAATATAATATGAGCCACATATGTAATCTTAAATTTTTTAGTAGCCATGCTGAAGAAAGTGATACTAATTTTTAATGTATCTTATTTAACTTAGTATATTCAAATTATTATTTTAACATGGAATTGATATAAAAATTATTGAGGTATTTTACATTCATTTTTCCAGATGAAATCTTTGATATCTGGTGTGTATTTTCCGCTTAACACCTCTCAATTCAGACGCTAGATTTTTGTTGGAAATACTTGATTTAGATTTCTTAAATTAATCTAGAAAAAGTAGATTCGCATACCCAAGTTGTTCCGAACATACTTAAAAGTTTTTCAGTAACTGAATTTAATATCAGTTTTTAAGTTGAAGTTAAAACTAAATAAAACTAAATAAAATGAAGAATTTAGTCCCTGAGTTACTCTAGCCATACTTCAAGTGCTCAGCCCACATGTGACTAGTGGCTGCCATATTGGACAGCAGAGTTCTTCTAGAAGTCACTGCAGAGGTTTCAGTCTTACTCTTCTTAGCTAAACTTGTTTTCATATTCAATTGTAGATAGAAGCTCTTAAAATGGATAAAAATGGTGTCGTCAAAGTGCTTTGGTTCCATTTAGAGGAGGTTGGTTAAGCTGTTCACTCTCTGACCCCTCTCCCAACCTCCACCCTCACCTCTACCCCCAGAGGTCCTGGAGCACCTCTGCCCAGTCCTTGAGCTCCATGGAACAATTAACAAGTGGCATCTTAGCACTCAAAAATTGCTGATTATGCACCCAGATTCTATCTTGGGGCTCAAAGGGGTCTTAATATATCTATGAGTCAACTCCTAGCCCCTCCCTGCAGTGCAGAAATACTATAGAATCCTTGGGGGATGAGAGAGGGCTCGGGCTCTGTTTAACACCTAGGAGCAGATGGATCATTTCATTCTATTCTGTCTTACGTGGTTCTCTGGGTTCTTATCTTGTCTTCCTAACTAGGTTGGGGGCAAGGACTGCTTTTCACAGCCCCACAGCACCCACACAAAGCAAGACAATCAATTCTTAACTGAAGGCCTGACTGCAAGAATTCAAGGTCACTTGAAAAATCAGGGTCACTGCATTGCACAACTCCAAAGAACATCATTCAAATTGTATTATATGATTGTGCAAGTGGCAGCCTTGTAAAATTTGCAAAGGTTTAGACTGGAATATTTTTTCCAGCTGAGAAAAACTTTTTAACTAATTATTTGTTGGTACAAAGTACACCTTTTTCCTCTTATCCTCTGCCAGGAAGCAACTGAAAGAGTAAGTTTTCTTGACTTAGGAATATACGTTCATTAGAGAGGGTGTATGGATGTGTGAACATGTGGGTTTACGTGCGTTTAAGTAGGTTAGTAGATCTGCTGTGTTAGGAAGCCCATTTGGAATGGTTTGAGCATTTAAACCTTGTATTTAAGAGGCTACTGTGTTTATATTCCTTTTGAAATTTCCCATTTTCAGAATCTTTATCTGGTTTGAATGATGCTTTAGAGTTCCTTGTTTGTAAAGCTCCACAAAGCATGACCCATAGGTACCAAGCACGTACACTAAAGTCACTGGATGAGCAAAGGGACTCTTGATGACTGCATGGTTTTTATCTTTGCAAATGCAGAGGAGGGAGGAGAGAGCAAAGAGTTTCTCTTAAAAAAAACCCTCTGTTTACTTTTGTGTTTTTCAAACTGATGGTGTTTGTTTTTTCTCATGTCTACCCAGGAAACCAAGTGCTACCTCCTGGAGCTTCTCTTGGAAATGGGCTCACACCAGAGGCAGCAAGAGACCTTGGCCTTCTCCCTGGGATTGCGGTCGCAGCTTCACTCATTGATGCCCATGCAGGAGGACTAGGTAATCTCTTATTTGTTGCCTACAGCCAAAACCGTATTCAAATGGAATATTCCCTAGAACCGAAGACACTCCTTTTCTGTTTTTAAAGCAAAGGTCAAGGACTTTGGTGTTTCAGGATATAATAATGAAAAGCCTTTTTACAGCTAGGCATTTGGATAGAATTACAGAACTTTTCATTAATGATAAAATTTATTTATAATTGTATTAATTTCTTTATACATGGCAATAGAAAAAAATGTATTTGAATAACTTTCTGCATAGTTCTTTTGTTTACTGAAAATTCAAAAAAGATATGTTAATTTCTTGCCACACTTAGCTCTACTGTTTTTTTGTAAGGTACTCCAAAACCCTTATAAGTCTCTTAGATTTATTTTAATAATATATTTGGCTTATGTCCTGTATCCAGTTCCTTGGCTGCAGTCTTGATTTTATCTTGTACATAACTCTCAAGTCTTTCATTCATGTATTCATTTGTTCATTCATAAAACACCCGTTGAACACTTACCATGTCCAGGCATGGTGCTAGAAGACAGTGAACTTAAAACAAAACCAAATAAAACCAAAGTCTCTTCCCCAGCTTTTAATGGGAAAACACACAGGGAAACAAAGAATTACAGTAAAGAATGATGACTTCCTCATCCTTATTGCAGGTTGTGTGTGTTTTTTGCAGGGGAAGTTGTTCTGGTTCTCAGCATCTCTCATCTCAACTGTAGCCATATATTTTTTTCCTAGCCTTTCATTCTAACAATGTTTTGTTTTAAACTATGATTTATAATTCATGAGATCAATTTAGCAGGACATGACCACTGAATTTGCACAACAGAATGGAACAGAATTGAATAGAACAAAGTGGAAAACATCAGAGTACATTTCACAAAGTAAGGGAAGGCACTGCTTTGTGGAGCTGTGTTTCCATTCTGTGTGTGTATACTTTCAGACACTTCCATACTCTGCCCATGCATTTACACCTCTGTGACTTGGCACACATGTTCTTTGTCCAGAATGATTGGTCCTCCACTTCTCCAGCTGGCTAACTCCTCCTCTAACTGCAAGACCCATATCAGATGCTTTCTGCTCTGCATAGCCTTCCATGAAACACTCAGGTGTATTTAGAAATTCTCTAAATTATGCTTTTTTTCAGCACACTATTTGAAGAAATGATCATATTGCATTGTAATTTCAAATATATCTGCATGTCATTTCCATTAGAGTGTGAACTCCTTGAGAACAGGAACATTATGTTATCTGTCCTGTATCCTTCATGCCAAGCCCTATGTCTGGTTCCTATAGCTGCTTATTAAGTTTATTAAATGAATAGTCACATTAAGGCAAGAATAAGGTGAAATGGCTTTAAACAGTAGAGTGAAGATTAATCTGTTTTCTTATGCAACGGATTATTAAATGGTGCCTTGTTCTACATACTACATGGATTTCCAGAGCAGGATCGCTCTCATCAATCTATGGACATGTCTGTCCTGTTCATCTCTCTGTCCTCAGGATCTAAAACAGTGCCTAAGAATTAGTAAACAACTCATAATATATGTAGGTTGGTTGAATGCTATGTAACGTAGTTCTGATTACAGGCAAGGTTGTTTCTCTCCAAATACTTTTCAGTGTGAGCAATGTGTGCTTTTGATTGGAATGTTAAGATTTTGGTTTTTACATACAAGCACAGAGAGAACTTGAGGTCTAGGCAGACATGGAGTGTTTCTGTCCCCTAGCAATCCTGACATTCCAGATCATGTGTGAGGCCACAAAAGCTTTCTCTGTCATGCTTTTTAAATTATCCCTGGGGTGACAGTGTCAATCATCCACCCCTACCTGGGTGACAATCACTTGGCTGGGACCGGCATATGCTGAAAGAAAGAGAACTGCTGCTTGAAGAGCCGCAGGCACTACAGTTTCCTTGTCAGTTTCCCAGACTTCCCTCAGGGACGTGCCAAAACACACCTTCTCACTTCTGCCCAGGACTCACTATGTCCTCCAGGAGGGGAGACTGTCAATGACCCTCACCTTTTTCCTAAACAGAGATGTTCAGTGGCAGAAGTTTTACCCTTAGAAGCTTTGGCTTAAGCCTTTTGTTCCCCGTAAAATGCAAATGCTTGTAAGTGATATGGTTTGGCTGTGTCCCCATTCAAATCTCCACAGAGTTGTATCTCCCAGAATTCCCACATGTTGTGGGAGGGACCCAGGGGGAGGTAATTGAATCATGGAGGCCGGTCTTTCCCATGCTATTCTCGTGATAGTGAATAAGTCTCACGAGATCCGATAGGTTTATCAGGGGTTTCCGCTTTTGCTTCTTCCTTATTCTTTCTTGCTGCCACCATGTAAGAAGTGCCTTTTGCTCTTCGCCATGATTATGAGACCTCCCCAGCCATGTGGAACTGTAAGTCAAATTAAACCTCCTTTTCTTCCTTGTCTCGGGTATGTCTTTATCAGCAGCATAAAAACAGACTAATACAGTAAATTGGTACCAGTAGAGTGGGGCATTGCTGAAAAGATACTTGAAAATGTGGACACAACTTTGGTACTGGGTAACAAGCTCATAGAGGGAAGAGACTTGCCTTGTCTCTGATGAGACTTTGGACTGTGGACTTCTGGGTTAATTCTGAAATGAGTTAAGACTTTGGAGGACTGTTGGGAAAGCAGCTGGGAGGGAGGCTGTACCCTGCAAAGCCACAGAGGCAGCGCTGCCCAAGACCATGGGAACCCACCTCTTGCATCAGTGTGACTTGGATATGAGACCTGGAGTCAAAGGAGGTCATTTTGGAGCTTTAAAATTTGATTGCCTTGCTGGATTTTGGACTTGCCTGGGCCCTGAAACTCCTTTGTTTTGGCCAATTTCTCCTGGAATGGCTGTATGTACCTAATACCTGTACCCGCATTGTATCTAGGAAGTAACTGACTTGTTTTTTATTTTACAGGCTCATGGGTGGAAGGGACTTGACTTGTCTCAGATGAGACTTTGGACTGTGGACTTTTGGATTAATTCTGAAATGAGTAAAGACTTTGGGGGACTTTTGGGAGGGCATGATTGGTTTTGAAATGTGAGGACCTGAGATTGGGAGGGGCCAGGGGCGGAATGATAATGATTTGGCTGTGTCTCTATTCAAATCTCAACTAACTTATATCTCCCAGAATTCCCACATGTTGTGGGAGGGACTTAGGGGGAGGGAATTGAATCATAAGGGCCAGTCTTTCCCATGCTGTTCTCGTGATAGTAAGTCTCACAAGATCTGATGGGTTTATCAGGCTTTTCTGCGTTTGCTTCTTCCTCATTCTTTCTTGCTGCCACCATGTAAGAAGTGCCTTTTGCCCTCCACCATGATTATGAGACCTCCCAGCCGTGTGGAACTGTAAGTCAAATTAAACATCCTATTCTTCCCAGTCTCAGGTTTGTCTTTATCAGCAGCATAAAAATGGACTAATGCAGTAAGTTAGTAACTTTCCCCCATATTTTTGTTAGTGGAAAGATAGAATAGTTTTTTTTTGTTTTAATGGAAAGATAGAATAAGAATCTTGGATTCTTTAAGGCCTGAACTTAGATGCCAGCAGTGGCTGGGAAGGGCACAGGAAGGTGATAGTCCATGATGACGGGTTGATACAGACTTACTTAATATATGTTGACTATGTTTTATCCTTATTATGCCTTCTTATGCCTTCTTATGCCTCTTTCTTTACCCTTCACCTTACAGCCAATCCAAGAGTTGGATATCTCAAAAAAATTAGGAGGCCTGGGTGCAAATGTTTCCTTTCATTTCTACCTTTCCTATACCCCTATTAGGATGTGGAGGTGAACAGATGCCTGAAAATCTTGAAAAGGTTGTCCATGGGTCCAACTCTATATTAACTAAATATAATTGAGTGAATGCAACCTGTCAGTGATTGGTCTAGGCACTGGAGATTATTAGCAGTGAACAAGTCAGGCAAAGTCCATTCGTTTTGGAAAGAAAATTCTCATTGTTCTCCCCTGCCTGCATGTTTGTAGCTTAATAGTATAGGTTTGGGACAGCTAATCCCTGAGACATATTGTGATGCTATGACAAGGGCACTCAAAATGGAATTTTAAGTTCTGGATTTAGATTGTGTTTCTGCCTACAAATATGGTGCTTCGCAGAACTTTTGTCTCCTGTTATGCAGTGAGAGAGTGAGAGACAACAGAATGCAGGATTCACTACTTTGTGATTCTGTATAGGTTGAGGTCAGTAATAGCCTCAAGAACTGGCTAAATGAACCCTGTGTTAAGAGATTTCTGAATGTCAAGTACAGACACAGCTTTGGATTTGGAATTGCCACCCAGGAAGAGGCCATCCAGGCCTCTCACCAACAAACCCTGACAACTGTAGTCACTTCAAATGCTGACCTGGCATGGCCTGCTTGAAACCCCACATTCTGACTAGTATGAGGGGTCAGCACTCTGCTTTAGAGAAATACCCCTGGACTTTCATTCCCAAGGGAGGCCTGGGATGGGAGGATAAAGATCAAAGAAGCAAGCAAAACTCAACCCATGCTTTTCCCAGTTCTGGAAAAAGAGGAGGAAGGGCTTTGTGGGAATAAAAATCAATGATAAAAGAACATTTTGTTCTTAAGGTGCTGGTTAGTAAGTTCTCCAGCAGACAGTCAGAAGATAGGAGTAGCTTTGTTTGCACTTTGTGGGGGTGGTTCTGGCCAGGGCTCCTGCTGCTGATATTTTTCTAGCTTATAAAAATAACATTAACTTTTTTCCAGGTCTTTTCTTGGCTCCAGCACCCCAACTGCCCTGAAAGGCAATAACAACCTGATTTCTGTCTCAGGCCCTTCTCTTCTCAGTTGCTCTTTTTTTTTTTTTTTTTTTTTTTTTTTTTGAGACGGAGTCTCGCTCTGTCGCCCAGGCTGGAGTGCAGTGGCGGGATCTCGGCTCACTGCAAGCTCCGCCTCCCGGGTTCACGCCATTCTCCTGCCTCAGCCTCCCAAGTAGCTGGGACTACAGGCGCCCGCCACTATGCCCGGCTAATTTTTTGTATTTTTAGTAGAGACGGGGTTTCACCGTTTTAGCCGGGATGGTCTCGATCTCCTGACCTCGTGATCCGCCCGCCTCGGCCTCCCAATCAGTTGCTCTTATCTGGCAGACAGACTCCTGATTATCCATCAAATCTTGAATCCTGTTCTCCTCTGGGAAGCCCTCCCTGACTTCCCAAGTTGACTTAAGCACTCTCTTTTTCCCCCACTGTGTCTTGCGCTTGCAGGTTTGTGTGTGCCACATTGCCTCATCTACTAATTTATAAACTCTTTGGGCAACCTGTTGTTTCATACTCCCACTGCAGCAGCCTGCAGAGTGCTTTACATATGGAGGACCCTTAACACATGCGTATTTAGTGAATGAGTGAATGAATGAATGGCATTCCCTCCATGAGGAACGGATATTACAACTGAGAGAGAGAGTAACCTCTCATTCAAAGGCAATTGTCCCTATACAATAGTTATACTTGGCTTATTTCTGCAGGAGCAAAAGTTTGGGTTCTTCTAGATGTTTGGAAATCTGTCTCCTTTTTGCCCTCATCACATTACCAAGTTTCGGCCAAGAGCAAGCTTTGTTCCTTGGTTTAGCACAACTATTTGATTACCAATATTGGATTATTTGGCAGATGTTGAACTGGCTTAAATTGCTCATCTGGGCCAGATATTGAATTGGTTTAAACTGCTCATTTCAATTGCAGAGCCAGGCCAAAATGAGGATTTTGAATTTCTTTTCTTTTTAAATGGAAGAATTTATTGAGCCAGTCTTGCAAAAAGGGCCTTTGGTTCATGCCCTAGAACAACACATAGTTTGTTCCAGTAAACAATAAAACATGCCAATAACATTTCTCACCATTATCAGTGTTCTAGAAGACAGGATAAAGGCTGCGATCTAAAGCCTGCGACTTTAGATAATGTGATTTGGGGGGAACATTTATTTATAAGTAGTATATATACTAAATGTAGCATGATGGATAAAGAAATATACTTATTGGCAATAGTCCATTGCGTTTGTAAACTTTTGATTTATGAAGCATGATATGGTTTGGATCTGTGTCCTCACCCAAATCTCATGCAAATTGTAATCCCCAGTGTTGGAGGGGTCCCTAGTGGGAGGGGATTGTATCATGGTGGTGGATTTCTCATGAATGGTTTCGCATCATCCCCTTGGTGCTGTTCTCATGATAGTGCATGAGTTCCCTTCAGATCTGGTTGTTTAATAGTGTGTTGCACCACCCCACTCTCTCTCTTGCTTCTGCTCCGGCCATGTGAAGTGCCTGCTTCCCCATCACCTTTTGCCATGATCGTAAGTTTCCTGAGGCCTCCCCAGAAGCCGAGCAGACACCATCATGCTTCCTACACAGCCTGCAGAACCTTGAGCCAATTAAAACTCTGTCTTCTATAAACTGTTCAGTTTCAGGTATTCCTTTATAGCAATGCGAGAATGGACTAATACAAAACACATCTATGTTCATTATAGAATTTGCTCCTTATAGCAACTTTGTAGTGAAGTTAGGACAGGTATGTGTTCCCTCATTTTGCACAGCAAACAGCTGAGGCTCAGTGTATTATAAACTCAAGAATAGATATTTATCTTACACTTAGTTCTTAAGGCAACTTTATACATACTATTATTCTATTTGTCAGATGAGACAGTTGAGGCTCACAAGACTACCTAACATTCTGAGCTACACAGTTAAATGAGAGATGCGTGACTTAAGCCCATGCTTTGTGCACACTTATCACTGTGTTATAAAGAATGGCCTACCTATTTAAACATGATCCACTCTGCTCTTTAATTTGACCCTAAAAATGTGAGCAAGTAACAAATTTTGAAAAAGGAAAGTCTTTAATATTTATTGACGACCCACTTTACTAGTTCATGGGGTTAGACAGTGACTATGAGAGAGAAGTGGACTTCTGGGAATTTGTATTCTAGTAAAGAAAATAGACAAGTAAATAAACAGTTACGGTTACTTGTGCCGTGTATGGAAGGCTTTGGAAAAACATAAAATGGGCCTAAAATTGAGACTTAAACAATTATTAAAGGATTCCTAGAGGGAGTGATGTCCAGTAATCTAATTACGACACTGCTTTCCCTGTTATTGCTTCCTGGTAAAGTGGAATTTATATATTTTTTGCGACTTTTAAACTTCAACTAGGCTTCATTTCTAATAATAAAATAATAACATTGTTAATTAGAACAAATACAACCACCACTCTGACTGGTACTACTATGATGACCATTTCTTACATGTGTCCTATGTGCCAAGTACTCTACCTGATACTGCTCAGACTTTATATCTTGCTCCTCACGATAAGCCTACAAGGTAGAGGTTGTTTCCCCATTCTGCATGAGGGAATTGAAGGCAGAAAGAATAATGTTTCCACAATCACATAACTAATCTCATAGCAAGATTTGAAATTGAGTCTGCCTCCAAGGTTCATATATCTTTTCTCTAGGCCAGTGGTTCTCAACCAGGGGTGATTTGACCCCTCAGGGGACATTTGGCAATGTCTGGGGACAGTTTTGTTTATTGCTTCTGGGGAAAGGGAAATGGCACTGGCCTGTGGTGGGTAGAGGCCAGGGATGCTGCCAAACACCTTACAATGCCCAGGCCAACCCCCTGCAACAAAGAATTATCCAGCTTCAAATGTCAAATGTCAGTAGCACTGAAGGTGAGAAACCCTATTCTCTCCTGGAACACCTCCAGTGATATTATTTCTCTTCATCAATTCAGCTTATTTCTATAGAAGCCAAAAAGCAGCCCACAATAAGGGTTTTGCTGATACATTAGTACTTTGTTGAAATGTGTTTTGTGAAATTGACTCTTCAGTAAAAGTAGTTGTGAGATTAAGAAAATAATAGAAGTGAAGCCTGAGGAGTAGGGAGGACAGGATGGTTTCTAGCTCATCTATTTCAGAGTCAAGCCACACGGGACAACTTGGCCGTCTTTCAGCACATCATGCACATTCCACCTCCTTTCCTTTGTTACTCATCCATCAGCACTCAGTCTAAATGTTACTTTGTGGAAACATCTCCAAATTTAATCCATTCTTAGAAAAGCACCAATCACTCTCTATGCTGTATCTGTGAAATACTTTACAACTATTTCAGTTTTTTCACCAAATCATGTTCACGTTTGTATGCCCATCATCCAGCATGAAATCCACATAGCTGGTCTTCACTAAATCAATGTAATTATTTAATTACTATTATTAGTAATTAAGATAATAAATATAAGAGGGTTTTGAAAAATCCAGAATAAGAATTGGTAAATATAGGTGAGGGAGACTTTAAGAAAATATAGATTCCCATGCCCTACCCTGCTGAGGATGCCTGGAATCTTGTTCTAAGTGTGGAAAATGTCACCTGGTACCCAGAGGAGACAGCCTGGGGGGATGAGTTGGCACTGAGGACACTGGGGTCAGAAGCAGTATTGATGTGTTTCTGCCAAGTAGGCAGATCAGACCAGAGCAGAACCGTGCTGCGCAGGAGCCAGGCCAGGCGCTGGCCAAAAGCTGGGGGCAGGAGGGAGCTTGTCCAAAATGAGAGAGAATATGGATCCAAAGAGGCAGACGGTCTGCAAGAAATTGGGGGTGGGGGGGGATTAGAAATGCAGATAAAGTCATGCCGTGGAATCTGGAAGGAGAAAACCGTGCCAGTCCCTGAGCAGATAGAGCAAGGACAACTCTGGGAGTTCCTGGATGTGAATCACAGAGGGCAGAGGAAGAACGTATTCATGGGATTGCAAGTTTATTGTTTTAAGTTGAGGTTCGGTTTAATGCGACCCACTACTGCCTGAGACCTCGGCAGTTCATGAGCCGTGGCAACAGCTCATGTGATGGAGGGAGGGGCAGAGAGCATACGTGGGGGGAAGGATAACTGAGTTTCCTGTTCCCAGGCTCCAAGGCTTTCTTGGAGTGCTGTGATTCTCTGGACTGCAGAAGGCTGGCCTTAGCTGAGAGACCAGACTTTGACTCTGTGGAAGAAAACCGAGAGAATCCAGGGCCTGGTGCTATTGCCAGCTCCCCATGTGTCCCCAGTTTTTAAATCTTGTGCCACACGTCAGTGTATATGGCTGTGAACCTGCCATGAAACCATAATATTTTGAGTTTAATACATACACTCCTGTTTGGATAATGAGTAATCATAGGCTTTAGAACTAAAAGGCTGCTCAAAGATTCTGTATACCAAATTCTTCAATTTGCAGATGAGAAAACTGAGGCCCAGACAATGGTGAATCATCCAAAGTTACCCCAGCATATTACTTTCAGAGTCAAATTTAGAATCTGAGTGACCTAGTTCATCAGCCAGGGTCCCCGCCCCATTGTACTACACTGTCTCCAGATTAGGAAAAGGGAATGACTCCTGATTTGTTATTCCATTTTATACCTTATATCCCATTTAATGGCCACAGGCAGCTTCACTGGTGGTTATTAAATAGGTAATTTAGTTTTCCTGAGCCACACTTGAGTAAATCTCTTTGTTTTGTTGTCACAATCTACAAAAAGCTCCAAAGAATCTCCTCCAGAGCTGGAAATAATAAAAACACCTGCTATTCGAGTTCCTTCCAAAGAGCTCAAAGCAGTTATTTTTATTTCACCTACCAATCGTTGAATACCTATGCTGTGCCAAGTGTTTTGCTAGGTACTTGACTATTCACTATTGTGAGCTCACAACCACACTGTGAGCTACAATTATTTTTGGACTTTAACATACAAGGATGAAGGTTTAAGAACCTGCCAAAGGTTACATTTTAATAAATTATAAAGTTGGGTTCCTGGACCCACCGATTGCAGAGCCTATGAGCTCTCCCGTGTTGACCTGGCTAGTGAATCTATTTGTGTGTAGGTATGTTTGTGCCTTTACTTACGTTAGCCCATACTTACACCAATGCATATTTGTATCTATAGTGGAAGATAGAGCTTCTGCTTAATATCCTTCTGGACGTTTGTAGATCTATTTTATGGATGAGAAAGTTGAGGCCCAGGGTGGAGAAGTGACTCTAATAAAGTGTATTTAAAGCAGCACAGGAGTCTGGGTTCCATCAATCATGGGGAATAAGGCCAGGCTTATTAGATCAGGGTAGGAATGGGATGCGTAGCTATTGGGGTTGTGTGGTGGAGAGATAAACAATATTAATGTTGACGTTAATTTTGTTTACTAAATTTGTTAATTAATGCTTACAATCTCAATCTCAAAGATTAATCTTAATCTTTTTGTAGTGACTTGCTGTTTTTAAACTACCCTTGGAATAGGGAAGGTATTTTTACCTCCCACGAATGGTTGGGAAAACTGACCTTCGAGGAGGTGAAGGGATTTGCCTAAGGTTACAGGACCAGGAAGACTGGATCCAAGACTCAAACCCTTATTTGTGTGCCTCTGTCTTCACATCAGCTTTAGTGCAACCCTTGCATCAAACAATGGAAAAGTAGTACCTAGTAAATGGAGCAAGGTGTCTTATTCTGTGCCCAGAGCCTCTCATTTTAAACAAGCTCTGATCATCTCATCTACTACAGAACTGTATCTGGTATTCTGGGGCCATTTTTAAACAGAAGGTTTCACTTATTCTCTCCTGTATTAGTATATGGCCGAGAAAATTAGCTGAGCTGTTATTTTCCTTTGCTGAACTGGGGAACAAAAACAAAAAAACACACAGTAATCCAGCCACTGGTTCTGACACTGCCAAGCACCTGTTAGGAGGACTTCCTACTCCAAGTTCAAAAGGTACGGACTGCTAGAAAAGTGTGTGTTTGGGGGCCCAGAGTCTAAGATTGCACTTGCGTCACTGGCTGCAAGAGTAGGATCAGGTCCACTGTTTTTCATGGCACAAAAACTCAACAGATAGTGCTTCACATCCATATACTGTTTCTAAGCACTAATGTTTACTTTGGGTCTTGCACATCAGCAGCTGATGGTGGGAAAATACACATCTCTAGTTATTGCCCCAAGGCGGCAGCCTCACATCTAAACTGCTGGCTTCTTCCTTATTATCTCTCCACAGGCCTGGTTCATTTCCTTGTTTTCAGTTTTCTCTTAGCTGTGCATTCATATCAGTCATTGTAAAGAGCAAAGAGAAATAATTTTAAAAATTTTCCATATGGGCATCTTGAGCATTGCCTCAGTACACTCTGTAGCTAGTATAGATATCTGGGGAAACTAAGAAGGAAAATTTCTTTGAATATAGAAAAATCATACTAGTCTCCAGTTATATCATTCAACAGCAGTCCCCCCAGCCCACCTTTCCATACCTCTAATCTGTATCTGTGCTTTGTACTATGACTCTGATGTAAGAGTTTGGCTCTCTGAAGATGGTAAAAATTTAAATGCTTGAGGTAAACACAGTAAGATAGTTAAAAACACACTACTGGTTCCATCAGCTGTCTCTTTGCCCTTGGAAGTCATCTGACACTGATGGCAGCAGTGACCCATCTGGAGCAGCCACTGCGAAGATGCTGGCTGCAGTAGAGGAATGCACTCTGCAGAGCTGGCTGGGGCCAGAACAGGTGGGAGCCCTGTCCCCTACCAAGTTGGCAGGGTGGGAGCCCCATGCTCCCAGGCACATCTGCAGCCGCCCAGCTGCGGCTCTGGACCTGGGCATCCCTACGCTCTCAGGGGCCCAGGAAGCCCCCCTTCCTTTGCAGACTTGGAAATGCTTGCTCCTACTCCCTGGCCTCTTCCCATTGCTGGTGCCTGCTCTGGAGTGGGGCAGAGTTGTGGCTGAGCCCAGTGCTGTCACAATCCAGCCAGGTGTACATGCACTTGAGGTGGTGCTGACACGCTAGCCTCCTGCCACCTTGGCCCTCTCTGGACCTTGGGCGCCAACGAGCATGGCAGGAGCTGAGGGCAGCTCGGCTCAGGCCTGCAGGTGCCTCAGTAGGAACAGACTGGGTGGCGGGTTGATGGCAGGAGGAAGCAGACAGGCTCCTGGGCAGAAAGGAGCGGGTCCCTGGCGAAACCCCACCTTCAAGCCAGGGACAGTCCGAAGCCTGGTGGCTGGACTGCCAGTTCCAAGTGGAGTCTGTGGCCCAGAGTGAGAACTTGTGTTGCTTTTTCTGGGTCCACCCATGGCTACCCATGGACCAATCAGTACTCATTTCCTCCCTTCTGAGCCCGTAAAAATCCCTGGACCCAGTCAGACACGGACAGACTCAGGACTACCAGCTGCAGGAAGGAGCTACCCACTTTGGGTTTCTCCACCCATTGGGATGACCTGCCTGCAGAAAGGAGCTACCCACTTCGGGTCTCCTCTCCACTGAGAGCTGGACACTCATCTAGACGACCTGCCTGCAGAAAAGAGCTACCCACTTTGGGTCTTCTGAGAGCTATTCTGTCACTCAATGAAGCTTCTCTCCACCTTGCTCACCCTGCAGTTGTCTGTGTATCTCATTCTTCCAGGTTGTAGGATAAGAACTCAGGACCCACTGAATGGCAGGACTGAAAGAGCTGTAATACAAACAAGGCTGGAAACACATCCCTCCGGCTCACTCGCTACTTTGTGGGCAATGAGGAGAGAAGAGCTGTGGCCCTTCATGGAGCCCAGACCTAGGGGCTCCCCAAGCCAGGGGTGTGACACTGTCTTTAAGGCTTTGAGGTTCATGGCATCTCCAAGCCTCCAGGTGCCCGTGTTCCCCTCATCCAGATGCGGGTGCCCATAGCAGAAGCCCCATGCAGCACATCAGATCCAGCTGCAGCCTTGCGTGGAGCTGGCACCTGTGCCAGCACCTGTAGCTGCCTCCCCTGCCACAGCAGCTTGCTTGTCTGGTTGTGTGCAGTGGCCGGACTCTGCACTTGCTCACCCACACACCCCTCACTGCTCCACGCCTGGGTCACCCTTGGTAGGTGTGGGATCCAGGATGGTGGCGTGAGCTGAGCCCAGCCTGCTGGGCCAAGTGGGTGGAATGAGCCCAGCAGGCACGAGCAATACTCAGGCAGAAGATGCCACCAGCCACAGAGGTTTCCGGCTGGCAAAGTGACACCCCGAGGATCCCATGACAGTACTTCATGCCTCAGTTCCCCCATCTGAGAAATGGGAATAATAGTACCTCTTGCATAGATTTGAGTAATAAATGAGCTTTTATTTGTAAAGCACTTAGAATAATGTCTGGCCATACTCTGTGTGTGTTTAGCTATGATTAATGTGATTGCAGTAAAGTTACATTATGAATAGTAGCAGTGAGCAAGAGAAAATCAAAGATTTATTACTTGATTTACAGGTAGATGACGTCTTCCTTCTGTGTGTCAGGCATTGTTATAGGTATGTTAGATACAGTGGTAAACAAAGCCAAGCTCCTTCTCTTATAGAGCTTCTATCCTACTGGGGACGTTCATAAACTCCCATTTAAACATATGTATTTATAGGTATATGTAAGTATACATATATGTATTGTATGTGTGCATAACTGTGTGTCTCTGTATATGTGCATATTTATAAGTGTCTTCATACACATGTGTTTATGCATGGATCTGGTATTTATACATGTATGTGTATTACATGTGTATATCTGTATGTAGTTGTGCATGCATATGCATCCATGCCTGTGTCTGAATGCGTGTGTGTATGTGTATATACTGTGCATGCACATGTTTGCATGCCCCTATTTGTATGTCTGTTTATGTGTACATTTATGTGTGTGTCTGATTTGTGATGTGTTTATGTGTATGTGTGTATATTCTAATGTTCATGAGTGTATATGCATGTGTCCGTATATATGTATGTGTATATGTGAGTGGATATGCATGCATGTGTTTGCATAGGGTACTGCTGAGTGTTATGAAGAATAGTCCTGATTAAAGTGATGGAAAGTTCCAGGAGGTGCTACTGGTATACAGAGGTCAGGAAAGTTCAGTCTAGAATGGGGACATTTGAGGAAACATACCTTAATGAAGAGAGGAAATATTTCATTGTGTAAAAAGCAAGGCAGAGATTTTTTCAATCAGCAAATATATGTTGAGCACATACTTTGCCTCAAGCATGTGCTGGGCACTGGGAATACCAGGATGAAGATGACCCAGTCCCTTCTCTAGATGACTCAGCAGCTGGTGGAAATGGGAGATCTGTATTCAGAAAAATCCTAATACAACTTGCATACTGCTTTTCCAGGCGGTGTAAAAATGTTACAAGAGTATAGGGAATGGATCAGCCAGCTCTTCCAGGACAAGTTAGGAGGTGAAAACTCCTAGAAAGTGAAAACTTGGATAAGCCTTTTAAGAAGCAGTAGTAGAATGTGCAGAGGCTCAGGGACGTTAAAATGCCCTTCATAATCAAGGAACATTTTGGTGTGGCCACCTCGCCATTCAAATGTGCGAGAGGGGCAGCGAGAGGCAGCCGGGAAGACGGAGCCTGTGTAGCACACTCTGACTGGAATCAGACTGCCTGGGTTCAAACCCCTGTTTTGCCACTTGTTAGTAAAGAGCTTACCTGCTCTGTGCCTCAGATTTCCCTTCTGCAAATGGGGATGGGAATAGTGCCTCACAGGGTTATTTTAGAGATGCCTTCTCCTGACACATTGTAAGCACTCAACAAGTGTTAGCTACTCCCAGTTGGAAGCTAGAATGTAAAAGGCCTTAAATTCCCAGCCAAAGAGATTGAATGCTAAAATTAATTTCAAGCAAACCTATCTGTTCAAATAGCTTTCTCAGCACTGATTTTGATGTGAAAAATATCTGGAATATTCTTCGTTATCAAGCATGTGCCTTGGTAGTGTAATTACAGTTTTTAATACTAATGGATGATCTTCCATTAAAGTAGTAAAAAGATACCATCTCATTTTAAGCTTAGAGCAAAAGCTTACTTAAGTGAAATTAAGCAGATATTTATTTTGTCAGGCTCTGGGGAGGATTCCGAAATTATTTGCTCCCTACTAGTGCCTAGCACTTTATCTTTGCAACCGCACTTACCCTGTAGAGTCATAGTTGCACAGGAAACTGTATTCCTGCATCTCTACCTTCAGTGTTTCACGATCACTGTTTCTCATCTGCCAGGCCTGAGGGTGGGCAGTGCTGATTTCACTGTCTCATACCCACTCTTCTTTCTGCCAGTGTCTTTTGTGAGAGCAATTTTATCTCTGCCCCTTTCTCTTCACCCCATTGTCTCTTCTCCAGTCTTCAAACCCAAACAAAAAACATACAAAGTTTGCTCATATTCACTGCAGTCTGAGCTGCTGAATGTTCTTCCAGAGCCCCTTAGGATTTCTGCACCCATACTTGTAAATGTTTGCATCTTCATTTTGTTGGTGGTGATGACAAATTACCCCACATAACTTGCCTCTGTTCCTGTTTTAGTTAGAAATTACTGTTTACTGGAGACAGAATGGAAAATGTATGAAGGGGCAACATGAGAAAATAGGTTATTTTGATTACTTCCAATCATCCATCGTTAATCGAATTCATAATATAGATAACCAAATAAAAAGATTATTTCAATTTAAACTTAGAATGACTTATAGGTTTTTTTAATCTGATTTCCATTCTTATTACTTCTTGCAGCAGTTTTCAAACTTGAGTCTGCATAGGCATTCATGGAGCTAGTTAAAATGCGGATGGCTGGGTCCCCACCACCACAACTCATTCTGATCAGTGGCTTTAACTGGGGCCTAAATATCTGCACTGTATCCAGCCCACACATGAGCCTGATGAACTTCACCAGTGGTACCTTAAAAGATAGCAAGAGGGGCAGACTAATTAGACTCAACGTTGTTTACCATCAAAAACTGTCTGTACATAATCCAGAAAGAGCAAAGTTGAATCCAGGCTAATTGAAAGACTGCATTTTAAATTTTTTGTTTCAAAAGTAGAGCAATAAAGAGTTTTTCCAATGTGTTATACTTCCCATGAGCTGGATACTACCTGTTTACCTAGATGCCACTTAATGTGGACAGCAACTTTTATGGCTGTGCACATTCTCACCACCCCCATTTAAAGAGAGGAAGGAGACTCGCTTAGACTCAGGCAGCTAGTGTGGTTGAACAGAGAGAACCTTGGTCTGTCTGGCCCCAGCTTGCTCTCTTTTACCATTATATAGCTTCACCCAAGCCAGCGTTAACAGCTGTAGATGATTTTCTTCTAATGTTCTAAAACCTGAAGACATGGGGCATCTTTTAACCAAATGCTCAGCTCTAGGGAAAGCTAAGCCTCTTCTATTTTGTTGAAAGATAAAGTGTTAGGCTGTCGATCTGTATTGTTACAGGTCCCTGGGCTGGATTTAGCCTCAGGAGTTAAAAGTATATCAGCCTTGTGACTCACCACCATGAAACCCTCAGATGGGAGTCTCCTACCAGTATCAATAATATGAATGAAAACTTTATATGCCTTCTGGATTGAGGCCTCTCACAGCTCAAAGTTGTAAAGAAAAACCCACGCAATTGGATTTTGTGAAATATATTAAATATGCCCAGTAATGTGGCTCTTCAAAGGAATTTATATACTGTCTGCTTTACTGTGGTGTATCATTATAGCTCAGCCAAATGCGTGGCCTAATAATTTGTTTCCCTTATGCATATCCATCATTAAATGTAACATGCAGACAATAACTATTTAAACACCTAAATAGATGATTATATAGCTGTCTGTCCCACTTAGACTGTGAACTTTTTATGAACAATGGAATCTAGTCATCTTCATCTCTGTGTCTCTTAGCTCAGTAAATGAATGAATATATGCATGAATGAATACATGCGTGAATGAATGGGTTTGCTTAACATGCTAAGCACTAGACTAGTTACTGTGGCAAATACAGTGATACAAAGAAATAGAGGCAGATGGATTGAGTTCTACAGGAATTTTAAAAAGGGAAGAATCACTTTCAGTTGAAACAGTAAGGCAAAGAAAAGACAAAAATACTAATATTTATTGAGGGACCTTCCTGATAGAAATATGCTAGAGAGTCTACATGTATAATCTTCACATTGACTCCAGCAGCTTGCTCAAGGTCACACAGCTGGCAGTGAGAACCCCCTGAGGTTAGCTACCATGGTCCTTCTGGGAAGTGGGAAGGGATAGCCTTTGAATGAATCTGGGAGAATAGGTGTATTCTCCACTGGAAGCAATGAAACGTAGAGTATTCTGGATGGAGAGAATAACATAAATGGAGGCACTGAGATGAGGTCGTGGAATGGTAAGCATTTCAGTTTGGCTGAAATCTATGATATCTCTAAGGGATTCCTGGAAGAAGAGGATATAATGATCAAATAGGTGGAGATAGATTGGGAGTCTGTCCCATCTGAGTACCGTTTTGGAGTTTGTGCTTCCTCTTTCTCCCTGGAGGCATTGGCAAATCATTGAAGGTGATCTCAAGCCAGAGATTCATTTTAAGCATGGCTTTATATACTTTTATACACAATAGTTGGGGGAAAAGGCAAAGAGGTTTCCTGAAATAGGTTTTGGCAGTGGGGCTTGAAAAGAAGATAGGGAGTTTGACAACTTTTTAAAACAAATCCATGCATTAGGCACAAGTTATTTAAAATTTTTGATGTTCTTTATATTCTTCTAGCTCTTTCTATTTACATAGCTATTACTAAATTAAATGTATAAAAGTATTTTTCCTTTTTAATTTGAAATAGATTTCATCTCATATTTGGCAGAAGATAATAATAACTTGTTAACTTCAAGGCAGTCAGGGTAATTCATCCAGTCTCAAACTGGGCATTCATTTAAATCTATTGTCTTAGATGGAGATATCTAGTATACTCACTCATTTAAAGTAGAGCCGTAAATCCTGAAGTTAAATAAGCAAAACAAAAGGCCTCCCAAAGCTGAGAAAACACTTGCCATAGAGTGCACATACTGTAGGAAAGTACAAGGATTATTCTCCGGCTGTCACCCAGCACTGCTAACTTAGAATTATAGATAAAATATGCTGTAATTTTAATAATTAATAGCTGACTATGCAAAAATATTATTTTCTCCTAGCTTCAACCAACAGGTAACATATCTGCCTTTCATGTCAGGTACTGTGCTAGGTACTAAAGATATAAATATGAACAAATTATAGTCTCTGTCCTCAAAGAGCTCCCATTCTGATTGGACAAACAGGCAAGTAAGCCATCCGAGTATGATGTGGAAAGTGTCTGATAAAAGCATGTCTGGGCTATTACAGGAGTCTAACCTCACTTTACCTGAGCAAGTTAGTAAAATTCCCTCCCCTTCCCCCAAAAATGATTGGTTTGACACTTAAAGATGAATTGGAGGGAGAAATAGGAATTTATCAGATGGACAAGACGGCTAGGCAGGAAGGAGGGTGAGAAGGAGAGGGAAGCAGAGGGAGGTAGTATGCACCAAGATCCAGAAGCATGAGGGTACCCCTTTGGCTGCAGAATACCGAGTATACTATAGTGTAGAGTATGCTGAAATAGAAGTGTGAGAGATATATGTGGGGACAAAGTTTTTGAGGGCCTTGAACATCATTTAAAAGAGATTGGAATTTTTATCCTTAAGGTACTAGCTTGTAAACAGAAACTTTAGAGGCAGTGAGGTTAATGGACCAGAAGACGGGACTGTTGTAAGAGACCTTGAAGGCCAGAACTGACGCAGTTCCAAGGCAGTATCAATGGAACAAGAGGGGACATTAAAAAATTAAAAATAGGCTGATGAACAGTGATGGGGTCCTTTAATGCATGGGCTTAAAGTGCTACATATATAGCTCTCTGAAGCAAGAGTGCACTGGACAATGATGGCATGGCACTATTTAACAGAAGTAAGCAGAGTCTATGTGTCAGGAGGATTGAGTGTAAGTCTCAAATCTGCCCTTACCAGTTATGTAACTTCTACAAGTCACCTCTTTAAACCTCACTTTTTTATATAGGTGTGAAGATCAAGATTCATGCTTTTTCTTCTAATATATCCACTTTTATATGCCAAAATTTTCCTACTATTGAAGTGGTATTGTTGGAATAAATGTGATCACAAATAGAATGTATTTAATTCATTAATTTATTCACTTGCCATTTATTGAATTTTTTTTTCTGGCAACAATGGGCTGTCCTCTTGGTCCCCCAAAATAAAAAGCTGGTGAAAATTAAATGTATCCACATATTCAACTCACAAGGCACCAGAGAGCTACTAAAGGACTTGAGGGGCCAAGATCAAAAGAGAAGCCTACAGAGCTGGGTTCAACATTTCCACCCTTTTATACGCTGAGCATTTACTGACTTGCTGAGATTTGGACTCAACATTTCCACCATTTTATAATACACTATGAGCATTTGCTGAGTTGAAACCTGCAACTCAGAGGCCAAGAAGCTAAACACCAGTTTGGGCAGTCTGCAGGCTGGAAGTATATATATTTGAGTTTGGACATCATTGAAGAGGGAGAATACTAGTAAATCCTCTAGGTGTTATTTGGGACCCCGAAAGTCAGTGTAAACTAAAAATAGACAAACTTTACAAAGGCCAAAGCCTGGGTTTGAATTAAATTAACATCTGATTAAATTCAGATCATCTATCCCTACTTGAGCTAACTGCAAGAAGCAAGGTTATATCCTTTCTAGAGGTAGGTAACATAATCAGAAGCTCAAGTTATAACTAAAAGGTTTCATATGTAATGTCTGCATTGAGTAGAAAATAAGCATGTAAAATATGAATAATTTCAAAAATCAAGAGTAAAAACAAAGCCACAGAAAAGTCCATATGCTGGTGGTATTTGACATGAACTCTAACATATCTGTGATTAATATGGTCAACAAATTATAGGAGAAGATGGAGAATTCAGCAGAGATCTGGGAAGTAGAAAAAGAAGTGGGGATTCTAGAATTGAAACTAATAACTGAGATTAAGAATTGACTAAATGGAGTAAAGTCAACAGCATACAATATAATTGAAAAGAGAATTAGAGAACTGAAACATAGATCTGAAAAATCTATTTATACTACAGCCAGTATACAAAAGGATGGAAAATACATGAAATACACAAACAAGTATGAGATATATGGAGCATGGTAAAGAGGTCTAACAGAGGTGTAGTTGGAGTCCAAGAATGAGAGAAGAGAGATAATAAATCATACATAGAAGCTATATTTGAAGAGATATTGGCCAAAAGTTTTTCAAAACTTATAAAAGAACTCAAGTGAGTTATTTTAACTTTTGAATAATCAATTAATGCAATTCCATATTAAAAGGATGCAAGAGAAAAATTAACAGTTGTTTACAAATGCTTTTGATACAACTTAGCACATATTCATGATTTTTTTAAAAATCATGGCAAACTACGAGTAGAAAGGAACTTATTTTGATTAAGGATATCAACAAAGAAAAAAACATAATGCAAATATCATACTTAATGGTGAAATATTACAATGTTCCAATTCTTACCACGTTTATTCCACAGGGCCTATCTAGTGCAACAAGTCAAGAAAAATAAATGGAAAATATAAGAATTAGAAAGAAAGAAAGCTAACATCATAGATGATACAATTATACACATATAGAATGTCAAAAGAATCTATAGATAAAATATTAAAATTAATAAGTAATTTAGCAAGGTTGCTATTGCAGAAAGTCAATACAAAACTCTATTTTATTTCTCTAATCCAGAGGCAACCATTTAGAAAATAAAAATTTTAGGGAGGAGCCAAGATGGCCGAATAGGAACAGCTCCCGTCTACAGCTCCCAGCTTGAGCGACACAGCAGACGGTGATTTCTGCATTTCCGTCTGAGGTACGGGGTTCATCTCACTAGGGAGTGCCAGTCAGTGGGCGCAGGACAGTGGGTGCCGCGCACCATGCACGAGCTGAAGCAGGGCAAGGCATTGCCTCACTCGGGAAGTGCAAGGGGTCAGGGAGTTCCCTTTCCTAGTCAAAGAAAGGGGTGACAGCACCTGGAAAATCGGGTGACTCCCACCCGAATATTGCGCTTTTCCGACGGGCTTAAAAAACAGCACACCAGATTATATCCCGCACCTGGCTCGGAGGGTCCTACGCCCACGGAGTCTCACTGATTGCTAGCACAGCAGTCTGAGATCAAACTGCAAGGCTGCAGCGAGGCTGGGGGAGGGGCGCCCGCCATTGCCCAGGCTTGCTTAGGTAAGCAAAGCAGCCGGGAAGCTCGAACTGGGTGGAGCCCACCACAGCTCAAGGAGGCCTGCCTGCCTCTGTAGGCTCCACCTCTGGGGGCAGGGAACAGACAAAAAGACAGCAGTAACCTCTGCAGACTTAAATGTCCCTGTCTGACAGCTTTGAAGAGAGCAGTGGTTCTCCCAGCACGCAGCTGGAGACCTGAGAACGGGCAGACTGCCTCCTTAAGTGGGTCCCTGACCCCTGAACCCCGAGCAGCCTAACTGAGAGGCACCCCCCAGCAGGGGCAGACTGACACCTCACACAGACCTGCAGCTGAGGGTCCTGTCTGTTAGAAGGAAAACTAACAAACAGAAAGGACATCCACACCAAAATCCCATCTGTACATCACCATCATCAAAGACCAAAAGTAGATAAAACCACAAAGATGGGGAAAAAACAGAGCAGAAAAACTGGAAACTCTGAAACGCAGAGCGCCTCTCCTCCTCCAAAGGAACGGAGTTCCTCACCAGCAACGGAACAAAGCTGGACGGAGAATGACTTTGAAGAGCTGAGAGAAGAAGGCTTCAGACGATCAAATTACTCCGAGCTACGGGAGGACATTCAAACCAAAGGCAAAGAAGTTGAAAACTTTGAAAAACATTTAGAAGAATGTATAATTAGAATAACCAATACAGAGAAGTGCTTAAAGGAGCTGATGGAGCTGAAAACCAAGGCTCGAGAACTACGTGAAGAATGCAGAAGCCTCAGGAGCCGATGCGATCACCTAGAAGAAAGGGTATCAGCGATGGAAGATGAGATGAATGAAATGAAGTGAGAAGGGAAGATTAGAGAAAAAAGAATAAAAAGAAACGAACAAAGCCTCCAAGAAATATGGGACTATGTGAAAAGACCAAATCTACGTCTGATTGGTGTACCTGAAAGTGACGGGGAGAATGGAACCAAGTTGAAAAACACTCTGCAGGATATTATCCAGGAGAACTCCCCCAATCTAGCAAGGCAGGCCAACATTCAGATTCAGGAAATACAGAGAACGCCACAAAGATACTCCTCGAGAAGAGCAACTCCAAGACACATAATTGTCAGATTCACCAAAGTTGAAATGAAGGAAAAAATGTTAAGGGCAGCCAGAGAGAAAGGTAGGGTTATCCTCAAAGGGAAGCCCATCAGACTAACAGCGGATCTCTTGGCAGAAACTCTACAAGCCAGAAGAGAGTGGGGGCCAATATTCAACATTCTTAAAGAAAAGAATTTTCAACCCAGAATTTCATATCCAGCCAAACTAAGCTTCATAAGTGAAGGAGAAATAAAATACTTTACAGACAAGCAAATGCTGAGAGATTTTGTCACCACCAGGCCTGCCCTAAAAGAGCTCTTGAAGGAAGTGCTAAACATGGAAAGGAAAAACCAGTACCAGCCACTGCAAAATCATGCCAAAATGTAAAGACCATCGAGACTAGGAAGAAACTGCATCAACTAACGAGCAAAATCACCAGCTAACATCATAATGACAGGAACAAATTCACACATAACAATATTAACTTTAAATGTAAATGGACTAAATGCTCCAATTAAAAGACACAGACTGGCAAATTGGATAAAGAGTCAAGACCCATCAGTGTGCTGTATTCAGGAAACCCATCTCACCTGCAGAGACACACATAGACTCAAAATAAAAGGATGGAGGAAGATCTACCTAGCAAATGGAAAACAAAAAAAGGCAGGGGTTGCAATCCTAGTCTCTGATAAAACAGACTTTAAACCAACAAAGATCAAAAGAGACAAAGAAGGCCATTACATAATGGTAAAGGGATCAATTCAACAAGAAGAGCTAACTATCCTAAATATATGTGCACCCAATACAGGAGCACCCAGATTCATAAAGCAAGTCCTGAGTGACCTACAAAGAGACTTAGACTCCCACACATTAATAATGGGAGACTTTAACACCTCACTGTCAACATTAGACAGATCAACGAGAGAGAAAGTCAACAAGGATACCCAGGAATTGAACTCAGCTCTGCACCAAGGAGACCTAATAGACATCTACAGAACTCTCCACCCCAAATCAACAGAATATACATTTTTTTCAGCACCACACCACACCTATTCCAAAATTGACCACATAGTTGGAAGCAAAGCTCTCCTCAGCAAATGTAAAAGAACAGAAATTATAACAAACTATCTCTCAGACCACAGTGCAATCAAACTAGAACTCAGGATTAAGAATCTCACTCAAAACCGCTCAACTACATGGAAACTGAACAACCTGCTCCTGAATGACTACTGGGTACATAACGAAATGAAGGCAGAAATAAAGATCTTCTTTGAAACCAACGAGAACAAAGACACAACATACCAGAATCTCTGGGATGCATTCAAAGCAGTGTGTAGAGGGAAATTTATAGCACTAAATGCCCACAAGAGAAAGCAGGAAAGATCCAAAATTGACACCGTAACATCACAATTAAAAGAACTAGAAAAGCAAGAGCAAACACATTCAAAAGCTAGCAGAAGGCAAGAAATAACTAAAATCACAGCAGAACTGAAGGAAATCAAGACACAAAAAACCCTTCAAAAAATTAATGAATCCAGGAGCTGGTTTTTTGAAAGGATCAACAAAATTGATAGACCTCTAGCAAGAGTAATAAGGAAAAAAATAAGAATCAAATAGATGCAATAAAAAATGATAAAGGGGATATCACCACCGATCCCACAGAAATACAAACTACCATCAGAGAATACTACAAACACCTCTCTGCAAATAAACTAGAAAATCTAGAAGAAATGGATAAATTCCTCGACACATACACTTTCCCAAGACTAAACCAGGAAGAAGTTGAATCTCTGAATAGACCAATAACAGGCTCTGAAATTGTGTCAATAATCAATAGCTTACCAACCAAAAAAAGTCCAGGACCAGATGGATTCACAGCCGAATTCTACCAGAGGTACAAGGAGTAAGTGGTACCATTCCTTCTGAAACTATTCCAATCAATAGAAAAAGAAGGTATCCTCCCTAACTCATTTTATGAGGCCAGCATCATCCTGATACCAAAGCCAGGCAGAGACACAACCAAAAAAGAGAATTTTAGACCAATATCCTTGATGAACACTGATGCAAAAATCCTCGGTAAAATACTGGCAAACCGAATCCAGCAGCACATCAAAAAGCTTATCCAGCAGCACATCAAAAAGCTTATCCACCATGATCAAGTGGGCTTCATCCCTGGGATGCAAGGCTGGTTCAATATAGGTAAATCAAAAAATATAATCCAGCATATACAGAACCAAAGACAAAAACCACATGATTATCTCAATAGATGCAGGCCTTTGACAAAATTCAACAACCCTTCATGCTAAAAACTCTCAATAAATTAGATATTGATGGGACATATTTCAAAATAATAAGAGCTATTTATGACAAACCCACAGCCAATATCATACTGAATGGGCAAAAACTGGAAGCATTCCCTTTGAAAACTGGCACAAGACAGGGATGCCCTCTCTCACCACTCCTATTCAACATAGTGTTGGAAGTTCTGGCCAGGGCAATCAGGTAGGAGAAGGAAATAAAGGGTATTCAATTAGGAAAAGAGGAAGTCAAATTGTCCCTGTTTGCAGATGACATGATTGTATATCTAGAAAACCCCATTGTCTCAGCCCAAAATCTCCTTAAGCTGATAAGCAACTTCAGCAAAGTCTCAGGATACAAAATCAATGTGCAAAAATCACAAGCATTCTTATACACCAATAACAGACAAACAGAGATCCAAATCATGAGTGAACTCCCATTCACAATTGCTTCAAAGAGAATAAAATAGCTAGGAATCCAACTTACAAGGGATGTGAAGGACCTCTTCAAGGAGAACTACAAACCACTGCTCAAGGAAATAAAAGAGGACACAAACAAATGGAAGAACATTCCATGCTCGTGGATAGGAAGAATCAATATCATGAAAATGGCCATACTGCCCAAGGTAATTTACAGATTCAATGCCATCCCCATCAAGCTACCAATGACTTTCTTCACAGAATTGGAAAAAACTACTTTAAACTTCATATGGAACCAAAAAGAGCCCGCATCACCAAGTCAATCCTAAACCAAAAGAACAAAGCTGGAGGCATCACGCTACCTGACTTCAAGCTATACTACAAGGGTACAGTAACCAAAACAGCATGGTACTGGTACCAAAACAGAAATATAGATCAATGGAACAGAACAGAGCCCTCAGAAATAACGCCGCATATCTACAACTATCTGATCTTTGACAAACCTGAGAAAAACAAGCAATGGGGAAAGGATTCCCTATTTAATAAATGGTGCTGGGAAAACTGGCTAGCCATATGGAGAAAGCTGAAACTAGATTCCTTCCTTACACCTTATACAAAAATCAATTCAAGATGGATTAAAGACTTAAACGTTAGACCTAAAACCATAAAAATCCTAGAGGAAAACCTAGGCATTACCATTCAGAACATAGGCATGGGCAAGGACTTCATGTCTAAAACACCAAAAGCAATGGCAACAAAAGCCAAAATTGACAAATGGGATCTCATTAAACTAAAGAGCTTCTGCACAGCAAAAGAAACTACCATCAGACTGAACAGGCAACCTACAAAATGGGAGAAAATTTTCACAACCTGCTCATCTGACAAAGGGCTAATATCCAGAATCTACAATGAACTCAAACAAATTTACGAGAAAAAAACAACCCCATGAAAAAGTGGGCGAGGGACATAAACAGACACTTCTCAAAAGAAGACATTTATGCAGCCAAAACACACATGAAAAAATGCTCACCATCACTGGCCATCAGAGAAATGCAAATCAAAACCACAATGAGATACCATCTCACACCAGTTAGAATGGCAATCATTAAAAAGTCAGGAAACAACAGGTGCTGGAGAGGATGTGGAGAAATAGGAACACTTTTACACTGTTGGTGGGACTGTAAACTAGTTGAACCATTGTGGAAGTCAGCGTGGCGATTCCTCAGGGATCTAGAACTAGAAATACCATTTGACCCAGCCATCCCATTACTGGGTATATACCCAAAGGACTATAAATCATGCTGCTATAAAGACACATGCACACGTATGTTTATTGTGGCATTATTCACAATAGCAAAGACTTGGAACCAACCCAAATGTCCAACAATGATAGACTGGATTAAGAAAATGTGGCACATATACACCATGGAATACTATGCAGCCATAAAAAAGGATGAGTTCATGTCCTTTGTTAGGGACATGGATGAAATTGGAAATCATCATTCTCAGTAAACTATAGCAAGAACAAAAAACCAAATACCGCATATTCTCACTCATAGGTGGGAATTGAACAATGAGAACACATGGACACAGGAAGGGGAACATCACACTTTGGGGACTGTTGTGGGGTGGGGGGAGGGGGGAGGGATAGCATTGGGAGATATACCTAATGCTAGATGAGGAGTTAGTACGTGCAGCGCACCAACATGGCACGTATATGCATATGTAACTAACCTGCACATTGTGCACATGTACCCTAAAACTTAAAGTATAATAATAATAAAATAAATAAAAATGTTTAAATAGCATGATTTACAATAAAATAAAAATATTAAGTACCTAGGAAGGAAGATGTGTAAGACATCTATGCAGAAAGGTATAAAACATTGAGAGTAACTAAAGAAGTCATAAATAAATCGAGGGATATATGATGTTCATTGATTGGAAAACAGTATTATAAATGTGACAGTTTCTTCCCGGTTGTTCTATAGATTC
This sequence comes from Homo sapiens, assembly GCF_000001405.40. NCBI lineage: Eukaryota > Metazoa > Chordata > Mammalia > Primates > Hominidae > Homo > Homo sapiens. Next base: position 59,539,216 of record NC_000001.11, read on the forward strand.
AGTGTACTTCAGTTCAGCATTCTAGCAGATTTGTGTGTAAGAGGATGGAAATTGGTAGACATCCTAAAACTTAGATGGAAAGGATCAATAATAAGACAGTCTTGAAAAAGAACAAAGTTGGGAAAACTCCATAATGCCAGATAGCAGAACATATTACGAAGTAATTAAGAATGGTATTGAGGGAAGGACAGACAACCCAGAGGAAAACAGATTAAGGAGCCCAGAAACAAACTCACACATGTATGGACAGTTAATTTGTGGCAAAGATGCCGTTGCCAGAGCTGTAAGGAAGCAATGTATTTTTCAGTGAAATAGTACCCTGCCGATTGGTTATCACTATGGCAGAAATTGAATTTTGGCCCTTCTCCTTATACTATGCATACAAATACATTCCAAACAGATTAAAAACTTAAGTATGAAATTTAAAAAAATAAAGTTCCTAAAAGACAAGGTCTTCATGACTTTGAGATAGACAATTTTCCTAAATAGGACATTAATGTAAGTACAACCATAAAGAAAAGGATTGGTAAATAAGACTATGTTAAAATAAGAAACTTCTTTTCATCAAAAGCTTCCATTAAAAGAGTGAAAATGCAAGCCACAAAGTGGAAGGAAATAGTTGCAATGCATATAACAAAAGATGTGTATCCAGAGTATGTAAAGAATGTCTACACATTAATGAGAAAAGAACAATTATTTTGACAGAACAATGGTTAAATGTGTATAAATGTGTGCATATATACATTTGAGCAGCTTTGCAGAAAAGAGGATATACAAATGGACAATAAGATACGAAAAATTGTCCAGCCTTGTTAGTCATTAGGAAAGTCCAAATTAAAACCATACTATGATATCACTACACACCCTGCAGGTTGGCTAAAATCAAACGGTTTGATAATGCCAAGTATTGATGGGGATATCAAACACCTGAAATGCTCAAGCATTGATGTGGAAATATGACCACACTTTGGGAAAGAGTTTGGCAGTATCATGATAGGCTATGATTCAGCAGTCCTATTCTTAGACATATATCCAACAGAAATGTGTACCAGAAAAAATACGTATATAGTAATACATGTAAAACCATTATTTGCAATAGGCAAAAACTGCAAACCCCCAGTTCCCATCAATAATAGAATTCATCAATGTTTGGTATATTCGTGGAGTAAAGGATTTTATGGCAACAAAAATGTACAAAATATTGCTACATGCAGCAGTGTGGTTGAATCTCACAAACATGGGTGACTGAAGCTGGCACAAAGAAAATACACCGAATGGTTTAAAAATTAAGCAAATCCTGTGGTGTAGACATCTGGACAGTGGTTATCTCTGGCAAGGCATGGTATTTGGAAAAGGACATGAGGTTTATTTCTTGATCTGGATAGGTGTGTTTACTTTGTAAGACTCCACTAAATTCTATACTTAAAATCTGTAGCTTTTTAATGTAGGTTATACTTCATTGATAAGGTTTATTAAAAATATCAAAGGCTCTGGGCCGCCCTGTGCTAGGCACTGGGAATGCAGACATGAGTATGAAATAACCTGGCTCTGAAGAACGGAGAGGAGGAGGTGAGTGGTAATTAATAAACAATTAGAGAAGGAGTTTGTTAGAAGTGAAGTCAGGGTGTGTCACTTTATATGTCAGCACACAAAGGAGCAACTCCCAACTCAACACACTTCCTGCCTGTATTAGGTGCTTCATAAATGTTAAATTCTACTCCCACCTTGCTATACTCATAATCATGAGTAATCAAGTAAGGGAAAAATTATGTTATGAATCCTCTTTTTTAGTGCACAATCCATGTTAGTGATAGTGGTGGCAAGTAGGCTTTTTTATTTGTCTGTTTGTTTGTTTGTTTTTTGATGTCTTTAACAGTGAGCCTTCCTCAAACAATGTATTAGATAGAATTGCAACTTCCTCAGCTGAAATTATTTCATCAGTGATTACTTTCTCCATGGAATGTTAATACATTGAGTTTCTCTTGTATATATAACCAGGGATTCTGAGCCTCTTTCATCTCTGCCTTGGGCCACACAGCCCCATAGAAAGATGATGGAAGGGAGAAGAAGGGAAGAACACCTGCCAGCCTGCCAGAATTTCGGCTATAGATTGGCAAGCAGACAGCTGAATGGAGGGAGGATATGGACAATGAAAAGGACCATCTAACTTGAGGGCACAGTGCCCACCGACAGCACAGCAGGTGCTGCCAGGCCTGTACAGAGCTGGAAATCCTGGCAAGATGGTAGCTGCTCCATCTTGTCTGGCCTAGTTACTGCCTCTGGCCCATGCTGAAGGGAGTCTGGGGAGTTACCATTCCAAAGAACTCACAAGAAAACAGAACTGACTTGGATATATTCCAGGTTTGCCTAGTGGTACTTCAAAATGGTAGATTGAATGTTATTTTAAAAGTCATTTTAAAATTATTTCCTTTGAAATACAGAATTTAATAGGAGAAAAATCAGAAGGAGAATGAAAAATAATATGGATATGCAGAATATATCCGAAAGAAATGTGTACTTCAATGTACCAAAAATATGTACAGGGATACAGATAACACCATTTCAACAGCTTAATGGTTAGAAAGAAGTATGATTTCTGGAGCCAGACTACCTAAGTTTATATTCCATGCTGTCACCTACTGTCTTTGTGATCATGTGTCAGTTACTGAACGTGCTGAGTCTAAATATTTCATCTCCAAAATGGGCATCATCATAGCAGTTGTAAGAATTAAATAAGTTAATTTACCTAAAACACTCAAAACAGCACCTGTCCTGCGTAAATACTACACAACTACTAGCTGCTGCTGATGATAACAGCTAAGCCATTTTTGTGGCTGAGAGTCAGCAGCCACAGCCAGGGTGGAGGAGATCCTTGTAATCATAAGGTCAGAGGAAAGAGGGCCTCAGTAAAGAAGGCTTCTTAGGCCCATACAGCGGGAATTACTTCTTGCCAAAAGGCTTGTTTGTCCTCTCTTGAAGCCATGATTAGTCTGCCTCTGCCATGTCGTTGGCTCCTCAGGAGATTACAAGCTCTCTGAGGACAGAGATTACATTTTTTTTCAAGTATTATTTCCCCAGCAGTGCTGAGCACAGTACCTGATGTAAAGTTGTGCTCTGTAAATGTTTACTGAATTGAATCCTTCTAAACAGAGGAGGGAGATACTATTAATCAGGGCTGAACGTGTGACAGCACTGTTCTTTCAAGCCAAGACTATATGTATGTTCTTTACTTTTTTTTTTTTTTTTTTTTTTTTTTTTTTTGAGATGGAGTTTCACTCTTGTTGCCCAGGCTGGAGTGCGATGGCACGATCTTGGCTCACTGCAACCTCCGCCTCCCGGGTTCAAGCATTTCTGTCTCAGCGTCCCGAGTACCTGGGATTACAGGCATGCACCACCACGCCCGGCTAATTTTGTATTTTTAGTAGAGATGGGGTTTCTCCATGTTGGTCAGGCTGGTCTCGAGCTCCCAATCTCAGGTGATCTGCCTGCCTTGGCCTCCCAAAGTGCCGGGATTACAGGCATGAGCCAACACACCTGGCTTTTTTTACTTTTAAATCATCATTTCCCTTTTAGAGATGGGATGTCAGAGGCCCAAAAAACTCAGTTCATTTGCGTGAGGTCATGTAAATGGTGATATCTGGAAGTGTCTCCCTCAAAGTCAGTGCCCTCCCTCACAGGCACTCATTCCCTAAGGCACCTAGGATGGGCACAGAGAAAGGAGAACCAAGCTTGGCTGGGGCTGCTGTCCAGAGAAGGTGGGCAGGTGTCAAGAGCAGGTGCAGAGGTGGAGAGGAGAGCTAAATCTTGTCCTCAGTAGAAGCAGAGATGTCATTTCAACTGCAGGTTTTGAAAAATGTCAGTGCATACTTCATGAGATTTTCTGAATTCATTTTTACTCTCATCTTCTACACTATTTATCTAAGCTGTTGTTCTCTTTGAAACTATGTCAGCCACATGTCATTCATTGTGCCACAACCCTGGGCTTTTTATCCTGCTTAGGGTTTTGTTTTGTTTTGCTTGTTTTTTCTCCCCAGCTGCTCTGCCTATCACTTAATTCTCTGAGCCCTCTGGCCTGAGTCTTATCCGGTGGTGTGGGTCACCTTACAATCCCGTTTCTAGTCTCCTGGGAGTAGTGGTGGCAGGCGAGGGATAGAATCAACATCCAGGTTCAGAATCTATTTGTCTTTTTTGGTCTTATTGTCCGAAGCTTGAGTCAAGGATAAATTAATCAGTCTAGAGGTGGGAGAGCCCTCTAACCCTCCCCAGGGAAAATCCTAGCCTTTATAGAAACTTGGCCTGGTTTTGGCTCTCAGATTTAATTCCAAGCTGTGAAGAATCTGTCAATGTTCAACTAACCCTGACAAAACCTTTGGAAGTTTCTGTTGCAACCGAAACTCTTATCACAGGAGGTGGTACTGAGCTTGGCATCAGAGGTTGGAGAGAGAAGAGAGCTAGCCTGCTAATTAATATTTTTTTTCCTTAAATTTCAGGCTTTTTTTTTTAGTTTAAATGTTCTAAAGAACCTGTCCTGTCACTTCCCATCTGTTTCCTGGTGTTTTCCTCAAGCATCTCACTGGTTTGTTTTATGTTTTTGAGGGGATTATCTGGGGTGCTGATTACTTTCCCTACCTTCAAGGAGCCTTTGAATAATTTTATAAATGAGACCATTTGTCTAGGGGCAAGAGAAGGTTGCTGAAGGCAACCTAGTCCTGCTTTCTCCCAAGAGAAATTGTACACTAACATTTGTTTAGTAGTGCCTATATCCCAAGTACAAGGCTCTTGCCTTATACCTAGGATGAGCAACTATTCCAGTTTGCCCCAAGATAAGCTGGGGGGTTTCCTTGGGTCCTGGACCTTAAATAGAGTGTAGACGAGGAGAGTTATCTTTTCTTCTGTCTATCCTAGGTTCATAGCTGGGGCCCTTTTAACAAAAGATAGATTAACAAGAGAGAAGCATACACATTTATGTAATATGTTTTATGTGATATGGGAGGTATCATACAGAAATGTAGACCCAGAGGAACAGTTAAACATGAGTATTTTTATGTTAGGCTTGATGAAGAGTAGACAGACATGGAAAAATATGATAGGGCAAGAAGGGCATGATTTAATGGTAATAAACTGGGGAACTTAGCAAAGCCTGTTAGTGCAGTTTCATCCGTGTGATCCTTCATCTCCAGATACAAGGATGGTGCTTTCCTTTGAGTACAGGGAGGGCACCTCTCACATGAGGGTCTTATGACCTGCTTCAGGGGACAGTCAGAAAATCCTAGGTTTAATGACCTGCTTTAGGGGAGAATGGTGGGGGAAAGGTAAGAGTGACCTCTATGCCTCTATGATTTTCTCAGATACCTTCAGCTTAAACTATTCAAAATACTAACATGCCATATTTTGGGATAGCATGTCCTGAACCCCATCAAGTGCAGATACCAGGAAAAATGACCCTGTAAAGGAAATGCCATTATTTCCACCTTACAAGTGAGAAAAGTGAGTTTCGAAGAGGTGTGTTCACTTACAGAAGTTTGCACAGGAAACTGGTGGTGAGAAAGAATCAAATATACATCTGTCAGACTTCAGACCCAGAACTTTACACTAACCAACTTCTTCAGAATGCAGAGTTCCATCTCCTTCAGACTGTGTAGCTCAACAGTTTTGTACCATCTGGCTATTTTTCTCTACTGTGTATTTGACTTTGTCTCTTTTGTCTCAGGGTGTACTTGAAAGCCTTTACCTCCCCATCTTCCTTCCCTGATGGCTGATATACTTCTGCCTCACCTGCTTTAGGAGCCCCTGCCTCCAACCATCCAAACTAGGTCAGGGGCTGGGGCTCCTTCCTTCTGTTAGACTATTCAGATCTGAGTCACTGGTCATTCGCATAGTGTCTTATAAATGTCTGCCTGTGTATTTTTCCACCACTGCTAGACTGGGATCTTGTAGAATACAAGGAAACAACTTTCATCTTTAGATTTCTAGCACCCAGCATAGTTCCTGGCTTATAATTGGGGATCAGTAAATAGCTGTTGAATTAATCAATTTATAAATTTTCAGGAAGCATTTGTGTGCCTTCGAGTCACAGTATTTGATCTATTTAAGGACTTATTCCATAAGATGCATTTGTGATGCTTAGGCCAGTTCTCTTAATTTTTTTTTCTATTTTTAATTTTTACAAAGTAATTTTTGTGAGTTAACTTGGCTGTTTGGATTAGATTTCAACCTGATACTTTACCATGCCTAATGTCTGAGAATGAGAAATTGTCTTTTCTGAAGTCATAGATGATAATGTCCAAGTAATCTAGAGGCTGTGTTGAAGTTAGGAAGAAAGGAATTTCTGACATCAAGTTTTTGCTTTGTCTTCACTGTGGATTTTTCTAGTTTTCTCTAAGTCTCAAATTTCCAAGCTATACATATTAGCCTACCTTTGAGATTTGATCTTTCTGGGTAGGAAGGAGAAACAGGAGTGAGACCCAGTTATCAGAAGGTCTGTTCTTTGTTCTCTCCACTCCTCGCAATACAACCAGCCTCTTGAATTGGTTTCTGATTGCTCTAAGTCATGGAGGAGTGTGGCATGAAGACAGAAATGATGAATGCCATCCCAAGTTAAACTGCAGTATGCATGGTGCTACATGTAATTGTGGCTTTTCATGAAATAAGCAGATTTTGGTTTATTCTTAATGTTTAAAATGCTAGCCTGGGTTATACCTACTACCTGGTACCTCATTTTCCTTATTCCTTTGGGCCCGCAATTATTTTGTCATCAGTTGTATAGTCAAGGACAGAAAACAGATGTTCCAATCAATCTAAGTAAACCCAAATAACTCTGGCAAAGCACACACCGTGCTGAAATCAAATGAACTGTTATGCCAAGCCTTGCTATTAACACCAAAGATTGGAAGTTGTTGGTAGTAACATCAAAAATGGTGAAAATATATTGAGTAAACTGTCCCAGACATTGTTCCCCTCAGTTAATCTCCATGATAGCCCTATAAGCCACATTCTATCATCATTCCAATTTTATAGATCAGGAGACTGAGACATAGGAAACTTAAGTGATTTGACCTACTTGCCAGACTTGAAACCAAGCAGTCGAGTTCCAGTGCCCTTGCTTTGAACCATTACGCCCTAACTAGTTCATATATCTAGTAAATGTCTGTTTACATCTCATGTAGAAAAAGACCTTCCCTATTATCTTGCTCTGCAGAGGGTGGGAGGGTTGGGGTGGGGAGGGGGCAGTGGCAGTGTCAAGGTGTGTAAAATTTCTCTGTTGACTTAAAGCATAGGATGATGATGATGATGATGATGATGATGATGATGATGATGATGATTATTATTATTATTATTTGAGACGGAGTCTGGCTCTGTTTCCCAGTGCAATGGCGCGATCTCGGCTCACTGCAATCTCCGGCTCAGTGCAAGCTCTGCTTCCCAGGTTCACGCCATTCTCCTGCCTCAGCCTCCCAAGTAGCTGGGACTATAGGTGCCGCCACCACGCCCGGCTAATTTTTTGTATTTTTAGTAGAGACAGGGTTTCACTGTGTTAGCCAGGATGGTCTCGATCTCCTGACCTCGTGATCCACCCTCCTTGGCCTCCCAAAGTGCTGGGATTACAGGCGTGAGCTACCACACCCAGTGCAGTAAAAGTAAACCTACTTTAGGATTTAGTTGGGGTAAGTTCTAGACCACATTTCTTTCAAGGTCAAAGCAATACTTCATGAAACATTGGGATTACCTTTTTGACTTTTTTTTTTTTTTTTTTTTGAGATGGAGTCTCGCTCTGTGGCCCAGGCTTGAATGCAGTGGCGCGATCTCGATTCACTGCATCCTCCACCTCCTGCATTCAAGCAATTCTCCTGCCTCAGCCCCCTGAGCAGCTTGGACTACAGGCGCGTGCCACCATGCCTAGCTAATTTTTATATTTGTAGTAAAGACGGGGTTTCACCATATTAGCCAGGCTGGTCTTGAACTCCTGACCTCATGATCCACCTGCCTCGGCCTCCCAAAGTGCTGAGATTACGGGCATAAGCCACCATGCCCGGCCACCTTTTTGACTGTTTTACTCCCCTTCATTTGCTAGGCTTGAGGTTAACCCTTTGGGTTTGCTTTAGTGGCATTTTGACAGTAAGTCCTGAAAGAGATCTGAGTTCAGCTATCCTATTGTCTAGGAATAGTTGGAGTTCTTGTAAGTAGTTGAAAAGAAAGGAACTAGCTTCTGTGAACTCCACGAGATAATGTAGGATAAGGTAGAATTAGAGTCAGGTAGATCTGGGTGTGATATAGTCCCACCCCGAGGTCCCCCACAATTTAGTAGTGTGGGACCTTGTAGAAGTTGCTTGGAAAACTTTACTCTCCTTTTCTCTATTTGTAAATCAAAGTGATAATAACTACCTTGCAGTATCACTGTGGGAATCAAATATGATAATATTTGCAAAGTGTCAAGCACAAAGCAATCTCCCAATAATCAAGGATCTTAGAACCTTTAGTCTTTACCAGTGATTTTTGACAAGGTATGTTGTGAGGCTCCAGTAATTACATTATTACCCATGAGTTGTCACTCAAAACCAATCAATATTTTTCACCTTTATTCATATTTAAGACACGGAGCCTTTGTCCGTGATTAAATGTGCTATTGTTACCTAGAAAATGTCTTGTGCTTTACTAGTATGTGACTTCTGCCACACACATTCATTTATTCATTCATTCATTCATCAACAATAACAACAAAAAATAGTGAGCTACTGCAGTGTGAAGACTTGCCCTGGCCTCCGTTTGCTTATAGTGTAGTAGAGGGATTTGTTTGTGTTGTCTGTGCAGACACATAAACTAAAGTTACAGTGACAGAATCTGTAGAGAGTCAGAAGATGGGCTACAAAGGAAGGAGGCTTGGTCGGTTCTGCTGGTCTGGGGTGTTTTGGGGATGTGGGGAGATGTGATCAGGAAAGGCTTCTGATGCTGCAACTGAGTCTTCAAAATGGAGTTGGTGTTCCCCAGGATTGTTATGGGATGAGGTGTATTGGTGGAAAGGATATCCTAGGCAGAGGGAGCAAAGTAAACAAATGCTTAGTGGCAAGGACCACCAAATCACATTCAGGAATAAGGAGAAAAGGTCCCAACCATATGGAACCCTGCTCATGCCAGGCAATTCTGCAGGTCGTGGATGGCGTATCTCCCATTTATTGAGTACTGGTGTGTTCCACCTAAATCTCATTTAATTCTCACAGCAACTTTGTGGGTGAGTATTGCTATCCAAATTCTTCAGATATGGAAATTGAAGTTCTAAGGGGTCAAGGCATCTTTGCCCAAGGGGATGAAAGAGGGATTCAAGTCTAACTCTGAAGAAGTAGATAAACAACAAAAACAGCAATAACAATAATAAAAGTAATAAAAACAGCAAAGGTTCATATAGTACTAGGCATGTTTTAACCTGTACCGTTCAATATAATATCCACTAGCTATATGTTGCTACTTAAATGTGAATTAATTAGGATAGAATAAAAAATTCAGTCCTCAGTTGTACTAGCCACATTTTCAGGGCTCAATTGCCACATGTGTCTGGTATCTATTGTATCAGACAGTGCAAATATAGAACATTTCCATCATCACAGAATGCTCTTATTAGCACTGTTATGGGTACTTTACACCTATATTAACATATATAATTTTTATAATCTGTGAGGAGGATACTATTCATATTGTAGAGATGTGGAAATTGAGGCATAAGGAAGATAAGAAACATAAAGAAGATAAGAAATCACATGATGAATGAGTCCTTATTTTTAAGCACTGTGCCATAATACTAACTCAATATATTGTGTTCTGTTTAACATAAATGAATGTTAGTCAAAATAATGGACTTCAGTGTCTGCGTGTATGTAGTCTGGTGTTAAGTCTTCTGCAGAGAACACGTCTTTGATATGATTCTTATCCTTCCAGAAGCATACAGTTGTCAATTTGCATGTATAAAGCTGGTGGTCACTAGAGAGTCTTCTCTGGAGCCCTTCCTCTCCAGGAACTCCAGAAACCTCCCAGCCAGCTTTGGCAAGAAACTCACTGGATGGGATTCATCAGTCAGTTCATTCATCCAAATGACTGAATCAAGAGTCTCAAACAGATGTAGTCTTAAATAATGTTCAAAACCCTTCTTATCCTTTTTGATACTTCAGAGAAGGTGCCTGAGGTTATTAAAAGAGAATCTTTTTCAAGATGCCAACACATCAGACTCAAAGACTGAAAATCCTAGTTGAGTCCAACTTCTACCTCTAAGTTACTAAATAAACTCGACTAAATTACTTCACCTTTCTGAAATTCAATTTCTTCAACTGTGAACTGGAAATAAAATACACATATCACAGGATTTTCTAAGGACTAATTGAAGGTTACAGTGTTTGAGGATACTTTGCAAGCTATAAAGTACTTTATATGGCTATAAAGTGGGAGATAATTATAACACAAATGCGAGAACTCAGGATGTTTTTCTTCTATATAACCTTGTAAGCTTTCAAAACTGCCACAGCGTGATAAATTATAGGAAAATGTACTCTTAATCATAACATTTGCAAAGTCTCTTTTTTATTTTACATAAATATAGTAGGGACTCAATGCTTGGGTGGAAGTATTGTTGGTTGGATGAATGGGAGAGATGAAGGGAGACAGCATATTAAATAAGAGAGCTGTTCATGAAGTTTTAAATGTTCCTTTTTTAACATTCTTTTTAAACATTGCTTGATATGAACTATGTGTGTTACATGGAGGGTTGGGAGACATTTAATTCATTGAGTTAGCCTGTTTTTCTGCTATTTGTTTTTTAGTTCAACAAACATTTATTGAGCAACTGCCATCAGTTGGGCATTGTGCAAGTTTCAGGGAAAACACAGTTGATGATGTCACTGTTTTTTTATGCCTGTTTCTTCATCTGCTAATTTTTCTCCTTAAACATTTTGAGGATTGCAGAATAAACTGACACTGGTATGGTCATATGAAGGGCCCCAGCGGTACCGAGGGCTGCACTTGTGTCAAATTGTTTCCTGATGTACACATGCAGCCTGTGAGTTCTCTGTGGATGGCAAAATATGTTTCTCCGGAAAGAAGAAAGCTCCTCCCACCTTTTCTTGCTTTTCCCTGCTTATCTCTGAACCTCTTTTCTCGGGGATAGCCCATCAAAGCACTGTGTGGCCAAAGGAAAAATAAGATGTCAGCTCTCCGACTCATGTGGTCTTGCAGTGAACATCAGCTATGCATGGCTGCTGAATTGGGGTGGACATTAGGCAGAGTGTAGAGAACCTCTTGAGGGGAAATGAGGCCAGTCCTGCCCAATATATATAATTTTAGGTAAGGAGATACCTCAGCTTGTATTTTAGGAGAAGCACTGTGTATATACTGAGAATGGCTGAGGAAGGACCTCCATTTGTAATTCATTTCTCTCATTGTGGGGATGAGAGAACCAGTTCAAACTTTTAGGCCATTTGTGGCAGAATTGGGGCTGAAACTCTTGTTTTTCTAACTCTTAGCCCATGGCTCTCACTGAGTTTCATGGTGAACTAGCACTTCCAAGTATGTTTTCATTATGTAAGACAATTATAACATCATAAAGTGAGGAGTATAGAAAGAACATAAGCTTTGGAGTCAGACAGAACAAGGTCAAATCCTGGCACTGCTTCTTAAATCCATGTGGCCTTGGGCAAGTTACCTGAACACTCTGCTCTGTTCTTCTACTTCTGCATCTATTAAGAGGAAGAAAGAATGTTTACCTTTTATGGATGTTGCAAAGATTAAATGAGAGAACATTCAAGGAGCTCAGCACAGTACCCAGCCTATCTTTGATGTTGATATGTTTACTAGAAAGGAAGAATCCAGTTGTCTCTTGAGAGGGGGTTCAGATGATGATGATGGTGATGATGGTGGTGGTGGAGAGAGTGATGGTAGTGATGATGGTGACAGAGCTACCATTAAACATCTCTTTTTAAGCATTTCTGCAATATCACAACAACCATGTGATGTTGTGATTTTCCTCATTTTATAGCAGATCCTTCTGTCTCCAAATTCCATCCTTTTCTCATAATAGCACACTAGTTCTCAGGTTCTAAGTCTAGATATAGCAGCAGTGAATCTGCCAACCCAAGAAGAAACAAATAAATATTTCCTACACATTTCTTTTTCCTTCATTTTAATTCCCTTTTCGTATTGACTGACCCTGTAACATTAACTTTGCCTGTACTTTATGTTTATGCAACCAGTAAATGTGGGTGATTCTCAGGAATTCCTTGAACCTATTTATGATACTGTGGAGCAGCGTGGCCAACTCCTTTTCTGTCAAGGATCTCAGAATCAATATATTTAAGATCCCAAGATTTTGAGATGTACAGATAAGTGAACATTGGTTGCCTGGCTATTGGATTTTTATCTTAGAGAAAAACCTGTGAGTCTTGGTGGGGAAGAACCAGCACTTTGGAATCAGATTACCTGAATGTGAATCACAGCCCAGTTCCTTGTGAGCTGCATGACCCTGGTGAAGTTACTACTCATTTCTAAGCTTCGATTTTCTTATCCATAAAATGAGGATAATACTAATACCAATGACATTAGTTTGTTGTAAGAATAAAATGAGACATGTATAGAAAGAGCATGTAAAAAGAGCTCAGTTAAAATGAGCTCATATCTTGGGTTATTCCTGTACAAAAGCCTTTGTGCCCTGAATGGAGAATCGTGTCACTCAGGATTCACTCAGCAAAACACAAACCACTCTAATTGTTTAAAAAACCAGTAACTTAATACCCAAAAATGGCGATCCTGATGATGGAGGAGCTGAGAAGGGCTACATTCCCTGTGAAGCAAATCAGAGATCAGTGAAATGGAAGCAGCTACCATCCCCAGGCTGGAGGGACTAAGGAGGGAGGAGGGAGGTGGTGTTCTCATAGTCTGAGGGCAGGGGACACCAGCCGATGCTGGAGCCATGGCAGCCCTGTCAACAGAGCCCGAGTGGTGGAGGGGAAGCAGCTGCTGCCTGGCACAGAAGAGAAGTAGATAGGCTCTTGCTTCCCCTTGCCTGCAGGGGTAGCCCCACAATACTGAGCAGAGCAGCGGACTTGATCTGAAAACACATAGGCCAAGGATTCTTGCAGGCTAAAGTCTCAGACTTCTATTGCCTGGTTGTGGATATGTAACTACTGTGATAACTAACACAGAAAGTTTGGAAGAGTCTTACTTCCCCCTGTTGCTAGACCTCTGAACAATAGCAGAGATTCACAGGTTGCTGTGCCCCAGAAGGTAGAATTTGGAAAAAGCAGTGGAAAACCCTCGAAAGCTGTAAGAGGCCTGTCTCTGGCCTTTTTCTCACATTACTTTCTAGCAAGTATCTGAGCAGCCAGTGCCTTCAGTATCTGGGGATTTGTGGTCTGATGAGACATTCCCACCCTGCCGTTTACCTGGCTAACTTCTGCAGAATTGAGTATAGACTGAACTTCCTTGGGCCCCTATAGGTGGGTTAGCTGCCTTTGTGGCCCCTCCTGTGATACACTGATTTCCCTGCACTGAAATACTCCATTTAGGCTTCCATCTCCTTCCCACCAGACTGTGAGCAGGGACTTGTCTTCTTCATCCTTGCATCCCCAAGCATTTGTACTCTTACTTCCTGTATTGAGCTAGCTACTGTGGTAGGTCCTGGGCTATGCATGTAAGTAAGAGTGCCAGCTACTAGCAACTTTTATTATAGAAGGGAGGCAGATGGGATATATGATGTTTTAAAATTACCCATGTCTTTTGTGCTAGGGAAGTCCATTGCATGAGACTATTTAACAGGGAGAATCGTCTGTCCTAGAGGGTCAGGGAAGCCCTATAATTAGGAGTCGGCCTGACAGCGAGGTTGGGGGAATGGCATTCCAGGCAGAGGGAAGAGCAAATGTGAAGGTCTTGAGGTGGGAAACAGCATTAAGGATTAGAGATTGAGAGCAAACGTGGCATTGCCTGGGAGCTGATGAGGTCAGCAGGACCTGTTCTCTCCTGTGTCCAAGTCTCTGCGTCCTGCCTGAGCACTTTCCACCCCCAGCTTTGTGTTGTAGTCCTGCAAGTCTGCGTGTTTGTGGCTTCCACATCACACCTAGTATATATCGTTTTGTGCATAGAAGGGGCTTATTGGATATTTGAACAAATGAATACAATTCCAGGCCCTAAAGAGTCTTTCTAGCTTTCTTGTCATATTTATAACTTTAGTTGCCCTGCAAGTATCAAGGAATACGAGCTCTATGGGGAAGAAGCCTGAATTTATACCATTTATGGGAAACCCTCTGCTATTTGGCATTCTGTTACTAGGAACTCGCTCTCAGTCATTCTCTCCTTCACAATTGGAGTTCTGCGATAAGTAGTAGTAAGAATGGTGACCTAGGGATGCCAGAAAGATTCAGTCATCAGACCATCCTTTGCTTTTGCTTCTTTGGGACTGAGATGTGATGTGTTAAACCAGATTCCATTTGGCTCCGCTCCTTCTTAGCAGTGACCTTGGGCAAGTCAGTTAACCTCTGCAGACCTTAGTTTCTCCTCTGATGTCTAACATTAATAATATCTATGATAGTGTTAAAATGAGACCATGTATGCAAATATGTAGCATAGTGCCTGGTATTTAGTGAGCAGAAAA